>NC_000017.11:26566733-26569914 GCF_000001405.40 Homo sapiens
AGCATTCTCAGGAACTCCTTGGTGCTGTTTGTATTCAAATTCCAGATTTGAACTTTCCTTCGGAAAGAGCAGCTATGAAACACTCTTTTTCTTGAATCTGCAAGTGGATATTTGGAGGGCTTTGAGGTTTGGGATGGAAAAGGAAATATCTTCACATAAATACTAGATAGAAGCATTCTCAGAAACTACTTTGTGATGATTGCATTCACCTCACAGAGTTGAACATTCCTATTGAGAGAGCAGTTTGGAAACACTCTTGTTGTGGAATGTGCAAGTGGAGATTTGGAGCGCTTTGAGGTCTATGGTAGTAAAGGGAATAGCTTCATAGAAAAACTAGACAGAAGCATTCTCAGAAAATACTTTGTGATGATTGAGTTTAACTCACAGAGCTGAACATTCCTTTGGATGGAGCAGGTGTGAAACACACTTTTTGTAGAATCTGCAAGTGGATATTTGGCCCTTTCTGAGGATTTCTTTGGAAACGGTATAAATGCACCTAACTAAACAGAAGCATTCTCAGAAACTTCTTTGTGATATTTGCATTCAAATCCCAGAGTTGAAACTTCCTTTGATAGGTCAGGTTTGAAACACTCTTTCTGTACGATCTGCAAGTGGATATTTGGACCACTCTGTGGCCTTCGTTCGAAACGGGTACATCTTCACATAACATCTAGACAGAAGCCTTCTCAGAAACTTCTCTGTTGTGATTGCGTTCAACTCACAGAGTTGAACGCTCCTATGGATAAAGCAGTTTTGAATCTCTCTTTTTGGGGAATCTGCAAGTGGATATGTGAACCTCTTTGAAGATGTCTTTGGAAACGGGAATATCTTCACATAAAAACTAAACAGAAAGCATTCTCAGAAACTTCTCTCTCATGTTTGCGTTCACCTCACAGAGTTTCACATTGCTTTTCATAGAGCAGTTCTGAAACATGCTTTTCGGACTGTCTGCAAGTGGACATTTGGAGAGCTTTCAGGCCTGTGTTGGAAAATGAATTATCGTCACATAGACACTAGAGAGAAGCATTGTCAGGAACTTGTTTGTGATGGTTGCATTCAACTCACAGAGTTGAAGGTTCCTTTTCAACCAGCAGTTTCCAAGCACGCCTTCTGTGGAATCTGCAAGTGGATATTTGGACCTCTTTGAAGATATCGTTGGAAACGGGATAATCTTCACAGAAAAGCTAAACAGAAGCATTCTCAGAAACTCCTTTGTGATGTTTGCATTCAACTCACAGAGTTGAACATTCCTTTTGAGAGACAAGCTTTGAAACACTCTTTCTCTAGAATCTGCAAGTGGATATTTGGAGGGCTTTGAGGCCTGTGGTGGAAAGGGAATTCTCTTCCAGTAAAAACTAGATAGAAGCATTCTCAGAAACTAATTTGTGATGATTGCATTCAAGTCACAGAGTTGAATATTCCCTTTGACAGAGCACTTTGGAAACTCTCGCTGTGTAGAATCTGCAAGTGGAGATATGGACCGCTTTGAGGCCTATGGTAGTAAAGGAAATAGCTTCATAGAAAAACTAGACAGTAGCATTCTCAGAAAACTGTTTGTGACGACTGAGTTTAACTCACAAGGCTGAACATTCCTTTGGATGGAGCAGTTTTGAAACACACTCTTTGTAGAATCTGCAAGTGGATATTTGGACCTCTCTGAGGATTTCATTGGAAAAGGGATAAACCGCACAGAACTAAACAGAAGCATTCTCAGAACCTTCTTCGTGATGTTTGCATTCAACTCACAGTGTTGAACCTTTTTTGATAGTTCAGGTTTGAAACACTCTTTTTGTAGAAACTGCAAGTGGATAATTGCACTTCTTTGAGGCCTATCCTACTAAAGGAAATAACTTCTTCATATAAAATCAAGACAGAAGCTTTCTCAGAAAATCCTCTGGGATGATTGAGTTGAACTCACAGAGCTGTACTTTCCTTGGGATGGAGTAGTTTCGAAACACACTTTCTGTAGAATCTGCAAGTGGATATTTGGACCTGTCTGAGGAATTTGTTGGTAACGGGATAATTTCAGCTAACTAAACAGAAGCAGTCTCAGAATCTTCTTTGTGATGTTTGCATTCAAATCCCAGAGTTGCACCTTCCTTGGAAAGTTCAGGTTTGAAACCCTCTTTTCGCAGGATCTACAAGTGGATATTTGGACCAATCTGTGGCCTTCGTTCGAAATGGGTATATCTTCACATAACACCTAGACAGAAGCATTCTCAGAAACTTTTCTGTGATGACTGCATTCAACTCACAGGGTTGAACACTCCTTTTGAGAGCACGGTTTTCAAACTCTCTTTCTGTGGAATCTGCAAGGGGATATGTAGACCTCTTTGAAGGTTTCGTTGGAAACAGAATCATCTTCACATAAAAATTACAAGGAAGCATTCTCAGGAACCCCTTGGTGCTGATTGTATTCAACTTCCAGAGTTGAACTTTCCTTCGGAGAGAGCAGCTATGAAACACTCTTTTTCTAGAATCTGCAAGTGGATATTTGGAGGGCTTTGAGGTTTGTGGTGGAAAAGGAAATATCTTCACATAAATACTAGATGGAAGCATTCTCAGAAACTACTTTGTGATGATTGCATTCACCTCACAGAGTTGAACATTCCTATTGAGAGAGCAGTTTGGAAACACTCTTGTTGGAGAATCTGCAAGTGGAGATTTGGAGCGCTTTGAGGCCTATGGTACTAAAGGGAATAGCTTCATATAAAAACTAGGCAGAAGCATTCTCAGAAAATACTTTGTGACGATTGAGTTTAACTCATAGAGCTGAACATTCCTTTGCATGGAGCAGTTTTGAAACACACTTTTTGTAGAATCTGCAAGTGGATATTTCGACCTCTCTGAGGATTTCGTTGGAAATGGGATAACGTCACCTAACTAAACAGACCCTCCCTCTTTCTCTCTCTCTCCCTCTCTCCCTCTCCGTCTCTCTCTGTCTCTTTCCAGGAAAGATACAGATTGATTCGCTTTCATATAAAGACATCAAGATAAAGGCATCCTGTTGAAATTCATAAAATTATCAGGGACCAAAGCTCCTCTCTCTTTCTGTTCAATCATACTCAGACTAGGACTTCCGCCTCAGGAACTGAAATGCCTGAATGAGCTCCAGTCATCAACTCTCTATTTCAACAAACATAAAATGCAAACATCCCAAAGAAGTTTCTGCCAATGCTTC
>NC_000017.11:26570014-26592586 GCF_000001405.40 Homo sapiens
AGCCTTCTCAGAAACTTCTCTGTGATGATTGCATTCAACTCACAGAGTTGAACCCTCCTATAGATATAGCAGTTCTGAATCTCTCTTTTTGTGGAATCTGCAAGTGGATATGTGGACCTCTTTGAAGATGTCTTTGGAAACGGGAATATCTTCACATAAAAATTAAACAGAAGCATTCTCAGAAACTTCTCTCTCATGTTTGCGTTCAACTCACACAGTTTCACATTGCTTTTCATAGAGCAGTTCTGAAACATGCTTTTCGGACTGTCTGCAAGTGGACATTTGGAGAGCTTTCAGGCCTGTGTTGGAAAATGAATTATCGTCACATAGACACTAGAGAGAAGCATTGTCAGGAACTTGTTTGTGATGGTTGCATTCAACTCACAGTGTTGAAGGTTCCTTTTCAACCAGCAGTTTCCAAGCACGCCTTCTGTGGAATCTGCAAGTGGATATTTGGACCTCTTTGAAGATATCGTTGGAAACGGGATAATCTTCACAGAAAAGCTAAACAGAAGCATTCTCAGAAACTCCTTTGTGATGTTTGCATTCAACTCACAGAGTTGAACATTCCTTTTGAGAGACAAGCTTTGAAACACTCTTTCTCTAGAATCTGCAAGTGGATATTTGGAGGACTTTGAGGCCTGTGGTGGAAAGGGAATTCTCTTCCAGTAAAAACTAGATAGAAGCATTCTCAGAAACTACTTTGTGATGATTGCATTCAAGTCACAGAGTTGAATATTCCCTTTGACAGAGCACTTTGGAAACTCTCGTTGTGTAGAATCTGCAAGTGGAGATATGGACCGCTTTGAGGCCTATGGTAGTAAAGGAAGTTGCTTCATAGAAAAACTAGACAGTAGCATTCTCAGAAAACTGTTTGTGACGACTGAGTTTAACTCACAGGGCTGAACATTCCTTTGGATGGAGCAGTTTCGAAACACACTCTTTGTAGAATCTGAAAGTGGATATTTGGGCCTCTCTGAGGATTTCATTGGAAAAGGGATAAACCGCACAGAACTAAACAGAAGCATTCTCAGAACCTTCTTCGTGATGTTTGCATTCAACTCACAGTGTTGAACCTTTTTTGATAGTTCAGGTTTGAAACACTCTTTGTGTAGAAACTGCAAGTGGATAATTGCACTTCTTTGAGGCCTATCCTACTAAAGGAAATAACTTCTTCATATAAAATCAAGACAGAAGCTTTCTCAGAAAATCCTCTGGGATGATTGAGTTGAACTCACAGAGCTGTACTTTCCTTGGGATGGAGTAGTTTCGAAACACACTTTCTGTAGAATCTGCAAGTGGATATTTGGACCTGTCTGAGGAATTTGTTGGTAACGGGATAATTTCAGCTAACTAAACAGAAGCAGTCTCTGAATTTTCTTTGTGATGTTTGCATTCAAATCCCAGAATTGCACCTTCCTTGGAAAGTTCAGGTTTGAAACCCTCATTTTGCAGGATCTACAAGTGGATATTTGGACCACTCTGTGGCCTTCGTTCGAAACGGGTATATCTTCACATAACGTCTAGACAGAAGCATTCTCAGAAACTTTTCTGTGATGACTGCATTCAACTCACAGAGTTGAACACTCCTTTTGAGAGCGCAGTTTTGAAACTCTCTTTCTGTGGAATCTGCAAGGGGACATGTAGACCTCTTTGAAGGTTTCGTTGGAAACAGAATCATCTTCACAAAAAAATTACACGGAAGCATTCTCAGGAACCCCTTGGTGCTGATTGTATTCAACTTCCAGAGTTGAACTTTCCTTCGGAGAGAGCAGCTATGAAACACTCTTTTTCTAGAATCTGCAAGTGGATATTTGGAGGGCTTTGAGGCTTGTGGTGGAAAAGGAAATATCTTCACATAAATACTAGATGGAAGCATTCTCAGAAACTGCTTTGTGATGATTGCATTCACCTCACAGAGTTGAACATTCCTATTGAGAGAGCAGTTTGGAAACACTCTTGTTGGAGAATCTGCAAGTGGAGATTTGGAGCGCTTTGAGGCCTATGGTACTAAAGGGAATAGCTTCATAGAAAAACTAGGCAGAAGCATTCTCAGAAAATACTTTGTGATGATTGAGTTTAACTGACAGAGCTGAACATTCCTTTGGATGGAGCAGGTTTGAAACACACTTTTTGTAGAATCTGCAAGTGGATATTTGGACCTCTCTGAGGATTTCGTTGGAAACGGGATAACTGCACCTAACTAAACAGAAGCAGTCTCAGAAACTTCTTTGTGATGTTTGCCTTCAAATCCCAGAGTTGAACCTTCCTTTGATAGTTCAGGTTTGAAACACTCTTTTTGTAGGATCTGCAAGTGGATATTTGGACCACTCTGTGGCCTTCATTCTAAACGGGTATATCTTCACATAAAATCTAGACAGAAGCCTTCTCAGAAACTTCTCTGTGGTGATTTG
Source organism: Homo sapiens (assembly GCF_000001405.40). Lineage (NCBI taxonomy): Eukaryota > Metazoa > Chordata > Mammalia > Primates > Hominidae > Homo > Homo sapiens. The sequence goes on from NC_000017.11 coordinate 26,572,429, forward strand.
CGTTCAACTCACAGAGTTGAACGCTCCTATGGATAAAGCAGTTTTGAATCTCTCTTTTTGTGGAATCTGCAAGTGGATATGTGAACCTCTTTGAAGATGTCTTTGGAAACGGGAATATCTTCACATAAAAACTAAACAGAAGCATTCTCAGAAACTTCTCTGTGATGTTTGCGTTCAACTCACAGAGTTTCACATTGCTTTTCATAGAGCAGTTCTGAAACATGCTTTTCGGAATATCTGCAAGTGGACATTTGGAGAGCTTTCAGGCCTGTGGTGGAAAACGAATTATCGTCACATAAAAACTGGAGAGAAGCATTGTCAGAAACTTGTTTGTGATGATTGCATTCAACTCACAGAGTTGAAGGTTCCCTTTCAAACAGCAGTTTCCAAACACACTTTCTGTGGAATCTGCAATTGGATAGTTGGACCTCTTTGAAGATGTCTTTGGAAACGGGATAATCTTCACAGAAAAGCTAAACAGAAGCATTGTCAGAAACTTCTTTGTGATGTTTGCATTCTACTCACAGAGTTGAACTTTCCTTTTGAGAGAGAAGCTTTGAAACACTCTTTCTCTAGAATCTGCAAGTGGATATTTGGAGGGCTTTGAGGCCTGTGGTGGAAAAGGAATTAACTTCCCGTAAAAACTAGATAGAAGCATTCTCAGAAACTACTTTGTGATGATTGCATTCAAGTCACAGAGTTGAATATTCCCTTTGACAGAACACTTTGGAAACTCTGGTTGTGTAGAATCTGCAAGTGGAGATATGGACCGCTTTGAGGCCTATGGTAGTAAAGGAAATAGCTTCATATAAAAACTAGACAGTAGCATTCTCAGAAAACTGTTTGTGACGACTGAGTTTAACTCACAAGGCTGAACATTCCTTTGGATGGAGCAGTTTCGAAACACACTCTTTGTAGAATCTGCAAGTGGATATTTGGGCCTCTCTGAGGATTTCATTGGAAAAGGGATAAGCCGCACAGAACTAAACAGAAGCATTCTCAGAACCTTCTTCGTGATGTTTGCATTCAACTCACAGTGTTGAACCTTTTTTGATAGTTCAGGTTTGAAACACTCTTTGTGTAGAAACTGCAAGTGGATAATTGCACTTCTTTGAGGCCTATCCTACTAAAGGAAATAACTTCTTCATATAAAATCAAGACAGAAGCTTTCTCAGAAAATCCTCTGGGATGATTGAGTTGAACTCACAGAGCTGTACTTTCCTTGGGATGGAGTAGTTTCGAAACACACTTTCTGTAGAATCTGCAAGTGGATATTTGGACCTGTCTGAGGAATTTGTTGGTAACGGGATAATTTCAGCTAACTAAACAGAAGCAGTCTCTGAATTTTCTTTGTGATGTTTGCATTCAAATCCCAGAATTGCACCTTCCTTGGAAAGTTCAGGTTTGAAACCCTCATTTTGCAGGATCTACAAGTGGATATTTGGACCACTCTGTGGCCTTCGTTCGAAACGGGTATATCTTCACATAACGTCTAGACAGAAGCATTCTCAGAAACTTTTCTGTGATGACTGCATTCAACTCACAGAGTTGAACACTCCTTTTGAGAGCGCAGTTTTGAAACTCTCTTTCTGTGGAATCTGCAAGGGGACATGTAGACCTCTTTGAAGGTTTCATTGGAAACAGAATCATCTTCACAAAAAAATTACACGGAAGCATTCTCAGGAACCCCTTGGTGCTGATTGTATTCAACTTCCAGAGTTGAACTTTCCTTCGGAGAGAGCAGCTATGAAACACTCTTTTTCTAGAATCTGCAAGTGGATATTTGGAGGGCTTTGAGGTTTGTGGTGGAAAAGGAAATATCTTCACATAAATACTAGATGGAAGCATTCTCAGAACCTTCTTTGTGATGTTTGCATTCAACTCACAGTGTTGAACCTTTCTTTGATAGTTCAGGTTTGAAACACTCTTTTTGTAGAATCTGCAAGTGGATATTTGGACCTCTTTGAGGCCTACCATAGTAAAGGAAATAACTTCATATAAAAACAAGACAGAAGCATTCTCAGAAAATTCTTTGTGATGATTGAGTTTAACTCACAGAGCTGAACATTCCTTTGAATGGAGGAGTTTCGAAACTCACTTTTTGTAGAATCTGCAAGTGGATATTTGGACCTCTCTGAGGATTACGTTGGAAACGGTATAATTTCAGCTAACTAAACAGAAGCATTCTCAGAAACTTCTTTGTGATATTTGCATTCAAATCCCAGAGTTGAAACTTCCTTTGATAGGTCAGGTTTGAAACACTCTTTCTGTACGATCTGCAAGTGGATATTTGGACCACTCTGTGGCCTTCGTTCGAAACGGGTACATCTTCACATAACATCTAGACAGAAGCCTTCTCAGAAACTTCTCTGTGATGATTGCATTCAACTCACAGAGTTGAACCCTCCTATAGATATAGCAGTTCTGAATCTCTCTTTTTGTGGAATCTGCAAGTGGATATGTGGACCTCTTTGAAGATGTCTTTGGAAACGGGAATATCTTCACATAAAAATTAAACAGAAGCATTCTCAGAAACTTCTCTCTCATGTTTGCGTTCAACTCACACAGTTTCACATTGCTTTTCATAGAGCAGTTCTGAAACATGCTTTTCGGACTGTCTGCAAGTGGACATTTGGAGAGCTTTCAGGCCTGTGTTGGAAAATGAATTATCGTCACATAGACACTAGAGAGAAGCATTGTCAGGAACTTGTTTGTGATGGTTGCATTCAACTCACAGAGTTGAAGGTTCCTTTTCAAACAGCAGTTTCCAAGCACGCCTTCTGTGGAATCTGCAAGTGGATATTTTGACCTCTTTGAAGATATCGTTGGAAACGGGATAATCTTCACAGAAAAGCTAAACAGAAGCATTCTGAGAAACTCCTTTGTGATGTTTGCATTCAACTCACAGAGTTGAACATTCCTTTTGAGAGACAAGCTTTGAAACACTCTTTCTCTAGAATCTGCAAGTGGATATTTGGAGGGCTTTGAGGCCTGTGGTGGAAAGGGAATTCTCTTCCAGTAAAAACTAGATAGAAGCATTCTCAGAAACTACTTTGTGATGATTACATTCAAGTCACAGAGTTGAACATTCACTTTAACAGAGCACTTTGGAAACTCTCGTTGTGTAGAATCTGCAAGTGGAGCTATGGACCACTTTGAGGCCTATGGTAGTAAAGGAAATAGCTTCATATAAAAACTAGACAGTAGCATTCTCAGAAAACTCTTTGTGATGACTGAGTTTAACTCACAGGGCTGAAAATTCCTTTGGATGGAGCAGGTTCGAAACACACTCTTTGTAGAATCCGCAACTGGATATTTGGGCCTCTCTGAGGATTTCGTTAGAAACGGGATAAACCACACAGAACTAAACAGAAGCATTCTCAGAACCTTCTTCGTGATGTTTGCATTCAACTCACAGTGTTGAACCTTTTTTGATAGTTCAGGTTTGAAACACTCTTTGTGTAGAAACTGCAAGTGGATAATTGCACTTCTTTGAGGCCTATCCTACTAAAGGAAATAACTTCTTCATATAAAATCAAGACAGAAGCTTTCTCAGAAAATCCTCTGGGATGATTGAGTTGAACTCACAGAGCTGTACTTTCCTTGGGATGGAGTAGTTTCGAAACACACTTTCTGTAGAATCTGCAAGTGGATATTTGGACCTGTCTGAGGAATTTGTTGGTAACGGGATAATTTCAGCTAACTAAACAGAAGCAGTCTCTGAATTTTCTTTGTGATGTTTGCATTCAAATCCCAGAATTGCACCTTCCTTGGAAAGTTCAGGTTTGAAACCCTCATTTTGCAGGATCTACAAGTGGATATTTGGACCACTCTGTGGCCTTCGTTCGAAACGGGTATATCTTCACATAACGTCTAGACAGAAGCATTCTCAGAAACTTTTCTGTGATGACTGCATTCAACTCACAGAGTTGAACACTCCTTTTGAGAGCGCAGTTTTGAAACTCTCTTTCTGTGGAATCTGCAAGGGGACATGTAGACCTCTTTGAAGGTTTTGTTGGAAACAGAATCATCTTCACATAAAAATTACACAGAAGCGTTCTCAGGAACTCCTTGATGTTGTTTGTATTCAACTTCCAGAGTTGAACTTTCCTTCGGAAAGAGCAGCTATGAAACACTCTTTTTCTAGAATCTGCAAGTGGATATTTGGAGGGCTTTGAGGTTTGTGGTGGAAAAGGAAATATCTTCACATAAATACTAGATGGAAGCATTCTCAGAAACTACTTTGTGATGATTGCATTCACCTCACAGAGTTGAACATTCCTATTGAGAGAGCAGTTTGGAAACACTCTTGTTGGAAAATCTGCAAGTGGAGATTTGGAGCGCTTTGAGGCCTATGGTACTAAAGGGAATAGCTTCATATAAAAACTAGGCAGAAGCATTCTCAGAAAATACTTTGTGATGATTGAGTTTAACTCACAGAGGCTGAACATTCCTTTGGATGGAGCAGGTTTGAAACACACTTTTTGTAGAATCTGCAAGTGGATATTTGGACCTCTCTGAGGATTTCGTTGGAAACGGGATAACTGCACCTAACTAAACAGAAGCATTCTCAGAAACTTCTTTGTGATATTTACATTCAAATCCCAGAGTTGAAACTTCCTTTGATAGGTCAGGTTTGAAACACTCTTTCTGTACGATCTGCAAGTGGATATTTGGACCACTCTGTGGCCTTCGTTCGAAACGGGTACATCTTCACATAACATCTAGACAGAAGCCTTCTCAGAAACTTCTCTGTGATGATTGCATTCAACTCACAGAGTTGAACCCTCCTATAGATATAGCAGTTCTGAATCTCTCTTTTTGTGGAATCTGCAAGTGGATATGTGGACCTCTTTGAAGATGTCTTTGGAAACGGGAATATCTTCACATAAAAATTAAACAGAAGCATTCTCAGAAACTTCTCTCTCATGTTTGCGTTCAACTCACACAGTTTCACATTGCTTTTCATAGAGCAGTTCTGAAACATGCTTTTCGGACTGTCTGCAAGTGGACATTTGGAGAGCTTTCAGGCCTGTGTTGGAAAATGAATTATCGTCACATAGACACTAGAGAGAAGCATTGTCAGGAACTTGTTTGTGATGGTTGCATTCAACTCACAGAGTTGAAGGTTCCTTTTCAACCAGCAATTTCCAAGCACGCCTTCTGTGGAATCTGCAAGTGGATATTTGGACCTCTTTGAAGATATCGTTGGAAACGGGATAATCTTCACAGAAAAGCTAAACAGAAGCATTCTCAGAAACTCCTTTGTGATGTTTGCATTCAACTCACAGAGTTGAACATTCCTTTTGAGAGACAAGCTTTGAAACACTCTTTCTCTAGAATCTGCAAGTGGATATTTGGAGGGCTTTGAGGCCTGTGGTGGAAAGGGAATTCTCTTCCAGTAAAAACTAGATAGAAGCCTTCTCAGAAACTACTTTGTGATGATTGCATTCAAGTCACAGAGTTGAATATTCCCTTTGACAGAGCACTTTGGAAACTCTCGTTGTGTAGAATCTGCAAGTGGAGATATGGACCGCTTTGAGGCCTATGGTAGTAAAGGAAATAGCTTCATAGAAAAACTAGACAGTAGCATTCTCAGAAAACTGTTTGTGACGACTGAGTTTAACTCACAAGGCTGAACATTCCTTTGGATGGAGCAGTTTCGAAACACACTCTTTGTAGAATCTGCAAGTGGATATTTGGGCCTCTCTGAGGATTTCATTGGAAAAGGGATAAACCGCACAGAACTAAACAGAAGCATTCTCAGAACCTTCTTCGTGATGTTTGCATTCAACTCACAGTGTTGAACCTTTTTTGATAGTTCAGGTTTGAAACACTCTTTTTGTAGAAACTGCAAGTGGATAATTGCACTTCTTTGAGGCCTATCCTACTAAAGGAAATAACTTCTTCATATAAAATCAAGACAGAAGGTTTCTCAGAAAATCCTCTGGGATGATTGAGTTGAACTCACAGAGCTGTACTTTCCTTGGGATGGAGTAGTTTCGAAACACACTTTCTGTAGAATCTGCAAGTGGATATTTGGACCTGTCTGAGGAATTTGTTGGTAACGGGATAATTTCAGCTAACTAAACAGAAGCAGTCTCTGAATTTTCTTTGTGATGTTTGCATTCAAATCCCAGAATTGCACCTTCCTTGGAAAGTTCAGGTTTGAAACCCTCATTTTGCAGGATCTACAAGTGGATATTTGGACCACTCTGTGGCCTTCGTTCGAAACGGGTATATCTTCACATAACGTCTAGACAGAAGCATTCTCAGAAACTTTTCTGTGATGACTGCATTCAACTCACAGAGTTGAACACTCCTTTTGAGAGCGCAGTTTTGAAACTCTCTTTCTGTGGAATCTGCAAGGGGACATGTAGACCTCTTTGAAGGTTTCGTTGGAAACAGAATCATCTTCACAAAAAAATTACACGGAAGCATTCTCAGGAACCCCTTTGTGCTGATTGTATTCAACTTCCAGAGTTGAACTTTCCTTCGGAGAGAGCAGCTATGAAACACTCTTTTTCTAGAATCTGCAAGTGGATATTTGGAGGGCTTTGAGGTTTGTGGTGGAAAAGGAAATATCTTCACATAAATACTAGATGGAAGCATTCTCAGAAACTACTTTGTGATGATTGCATTCACCTCACAGAGTTGAACATTCCTATTGAGAGAGCAGTTTGGAAACACTCTTGTTGGAGAATCTGCAAGTGGAGATTTGGAGCGCTTTGAGGCCTATGGTACTAAAGGGAATAGCTTCATATAAAAACTAGGCAGAAGCATTCTCAGAAAATACTTTGTGATGATTGAGTTTAACTCACAGAGCTGAACATTCCTTTGGATGGAGCAGGTTTGAAACACACTTTTTGTAGAATCTGCAAGTGGATATTTGGACCTCTCTGATTATTTCGTTGGAAACGGGATAACTGCACCTAACTAAACAGAAGCATTCTCAGAAACTTCTTTGTGATATTTGCATTCAAATCCCAGAGTTGAAACTTCCTTTGATAGGTCAGGTTTGAAACACTCTTTCTGTACGATCTGCAAGTGGATATTTGGACCACTCTGTGGCCTTCGTTCGAAACGGGTACATCTTCACATAACATCTAGACAGAAGCCTTCTCAGAAACTTCTCTGTGATGATTGCATTCAACTCACAGAGTTGAACCCTCCTATAGATATAGCAGTTCTGAATCTCTCTTTTTGTGGAATCTGCAAGTGGATATGTGGACCTCTTTGAAGATGTCTTTGGAAACGGGAATATCTTCACATAAAAATTAAACAGAAGCATTCTCAGAAACTTCTCTCTCATGTTTGCGTTCAACTCACACAGTTTCACATTGCTTTTCATAGAGCAGTTCTGAAACATGCTTTTCGGACTGTCTGCAAGTGGACATTTGGAGAGCTTTCAGGCCTGTGTTGGAAAATGAATTATCGTCACATAGACACTAGAGAGAAGCATTGTCAGGAACTTGTTTGTGATGGTTGCATTCAACTCACAGAGTTGAAGGTTCCTTTTCAAACAGCAGTTTCCAAGCACGCCTTCTGTGGAATCTGCAAGTGGATATTTGGACCTCTTTGAAGATATCGTTGGAAACGGGATAATCTTCACAGAAAAGCTAAACAGAAGCATTCTCAGAAACTCCTTTGTGATGTTTGCATTCAACTCACAGAGTTGAACATTCCTTTTGAGAGACAAGCTTTGAAACACTCTTTCTCTAGAATCTGCAAGTGGATATTTGGAGGGCTTTGAGGCCTGTGGTGGAAAGGGAATTCTCTTCCAGTAAAAACTAGATAGAAGCATTCTCAGAAACTACTTTGTGATGATTGCATTCAAGTCACAGAGTTGAATATTCCCTTTGACAGAGCACTTTGGAAACTCTCGCTGTGTAGAATCTGCAAGTGGAGATATGGACCGCTTTGAGGCCTATGGTAGTAAAGGAAATAGCTTCATAGAAAAACTAGACAGTAGCATTCTCAGAAAACTGTTTGTGACGACTGAGTTTAACTCACAAGGCTGAACATTCCTTTGGATGGAGCAGTTTCGAAACACACACTTTGTAGAATCTGCAAGTGGATATTTGGGCCTCTCTGAGGATTTCATTGGAAAAGGGATAAACCGCACAGAACTAAACAGAAGTATTCTCAGAACCTTCTTCGTGATGTTTGCATTCAACTCACAGTGTTGAACCTTTCTTTGATAGTTCAGGTTTGAAACAATCTTTTTGTAGAAACTGTAAGTGGATAATTGCACTTCTTTGAGGCCTATCGTAGTAAAGGAAATAACTTCATATATAAACAAGACAGAAGCTTTCTCAGAAAATCCTCTGGGATGATAGAGTTGAACTCACAGAGCTGTACTTTCCTTGGGGTGGAGTAGTTTCGAAACACACTTTCTGTAGAATCTGCAAGTGGATATTTGGAGCTGTCTGAGGTATTCGTTGGAAACTTGGTAATTTCATCTAACTAAACAGAAGCAGTCTCTGAATTTTCTTTGTGATGTTTGCATTCAAATCCCAGAATTGCACATTCCTTGGAAAGTTCAGGTTTGAAACCCTCATTTTGCAGGATCTACAAGTGGATATTTGGACCACTCTGTGGCCTTCGTTCGAAACGGGTATATCTTCACATAACGTCTAGACAGAAGCATTCTCAGAAACTTTTCTGTGATGACTGCATTCAACTCACAGAGTTGAACACTCCTTTTGAGAGCGCAGTTTTGAAACTCTCTTTCTGTGGAATCTGCAAGGGGACATGTAGACCTCTTTGAAGGTTTCGTTGGAAACAGAATCATCTTCACAAAAAAATTACACGGAAGCATTCTCAGGAACCCCTTGGTGCTGATTGTATTCAACTTCCAGAGTTGAACTTTCCTTCGGAGAGAGCAGCTATGAAACACTCTTTTTCGAGAATCTGCAAGTGGATATTTGGAGGGCTTTGAGGTTTGTGGTGGAAAAGGAAATATCTTCACATAAATACTAGATGGAAGCATTCTCAGAAACTACTTTGTGATGATTGCATTCACCTCACAGAGTTGAACATTCCTATTGAGAGAGCAGTTTGGAAACACTCTTGTTGGAGAATCTGCAAGTGGAGATTTGGAGCGCTTTGAGGCCTATGGTACTAAAGGGAATAGCTTCATATAAAAACTAGGCAGAAGCATTCTCAGAAAATACTTTGTGATGATTGAGTTTAACTCACAGAGCTGAACATTCGTTTGGATGGAGCAGGTTTGAAACACACTTTTTGTAGAATCTGCAAGTGGATATTTGGACCTCTCTGAGGATTTCGTTGGAAACGGGATAACTGCACCTAACTAAACAGAAGCATTCTCAGAAACTTCTTTGTGATATTTGCATTCAAATCCCAGAGTTGAAACTTCCTTTGATAGGTCAGGTTTGAAACACTCTTTCTGTACGATCTGCAAGTGGATATTTGGACCACTCTGTGGCCTTCGTTCGAAACGGGTACATCTTCACATAACATCTAGACAGAAGCCTTCTCAGAAACTTCTCTGTGATGATTGCATTCAACTCACAGAGTTGAACCCTCCTATAGATATAGCAGTTCTGAATCTCTCTTTTTGTGGAATCTGCAAGTGGATATGTGGACCTCTTTGAAGATGTCTTTGGAAACGGGAATATCTTCACATAAAAATTAAACAGAAGCATTCTCAGAAACTTCTCTCTCATGTTTGCGTTCAACTCACACAGTTTCACATTGCTTTTCATAGAGCAGTTCTGAAACATGCTTTTCGGACTGTCTGCAAGTGGACATTTGGAGAGCTTTCAGGCCTGTGTTGGAAAATGAATTATCGTCACATAGACACTAGAGAGAAGCATTGTCAGGAACTTGTTTGTGATGGTTGCATTCAACTCACAGAGTTGAAGGTTCCTTTTCAACCAGCAGTTTCCAAGCACGCCTTCTGTGGAATCTGCAAGTGGATATTTGGACCTCTTTGAAGATATCGTTGGAAACGGGATAATCTTCACAGAAAAGCTAAACGGAAGCATTCTCAGAAACTCCTTTGTGATGTTTGCATTCAACTCACAGAGTTGAACATTCCTTTTGAGAGACAAGCTTTGAAACACTCTTTCTCTAGAATCTGCAAGTGGATATTTGGAGGGCTTTGAGGCCTGTGGTGGAAAGGGAATTCTCTTCCAGTAAAAACTAGATAGAAGCATTCTCAGAAACTACTTTGTGATGATTGCATTCAAGTCACAGAGTTGAATATTCCCTTTGACAGAGCACTTTGGAAACTCTCGCTGTGTAGAATCTGCAAGTGGAGATATGGACCGCTTTGAGGCCTATGGTAGTAAAGGAAATAGCTTCATAGAAAAACTAGACAGTAGCATTCTCAGAAAACTGTTTGTGACGACTGAGTTTAACTCACAAGGCTGAACATTCCTTTGGATGGAGCAGTTTCGAAACACACTCTTTGTAGAATCTGCAAGTGGATATTTGGGCCTCTCTGAGGATTTCATTGGAAAAGGGATAAACCGCACAGAACTAAACAGAAGCATTCTCAGAACCTTCTTCGTGATGTTTGCATTCAACTCACAGTGTTGAACCTTTTTTGATAGTTCAGGTTTGAAACACTCTTTTTGTAGAAACTGCAAGTGGATAATTGCACTTCTTTGAGGCCTATCCTACTAAAGGAAATAACTTCTTCATATAAAATCAAGACAGAAGCTTTCTCAGAAAATCCTCTGGGATGATTGAGTTGAACTCACAGAGCTGTACTTTCCTTGGGATGGAGTAGTTTCGAAACACACTTTCTGTAGAATCTGCAAGTGGATATTTGGACCTGTCTGAGGAATTTGTTGGTAACGGGATAATTTCAGCTAACTAAACAGAAGCAGTCTCTGAATTTTCTTTGTGATGTTTGCATTCAAATCCCAGAATTGCACCTTCCTTGGAAAGTTCAGGTTTGAAACCCTCATTTTGCAGGATCTACAAGTGGATATTTGGACCACTCTGTGGCCTTCGTTCGAAACGGGTATATCTTCACATAACGTCTAGACAGAAGCATTCTCAGAAACTTTTCTGTGATGACTGCATTCAACTCACAGAGTTGAACACTCCTTTTGAGAGCGCAGTTTTGAAACTCTCTTTCTGTGGAATCTGCAAGGGGACATGTAGACCTCTTTGAAGGTTTCGTTGGAAACAGAATCATCTTCACAAAAAAATTACACGGAAGCATTCTCAGGAACCCCTTGGTGCTGATTGTATTCAACTTCCAGAGTTGAACTTTCCTTCGGAAAGAGCAGCTATGAAACACTCTTTTTCTAGAATCTGCAAGTGGATATTTGGAGGGCTTTGAGGTTTGTGGTGGAAAAGGAAATATCTTCACATAAATACTAGATGGAAGCATTCTCAGAAACTACTTTGTGATGATTGCATTCACCTCACAGAGTTGAACATTCCTATTGAGAGAGCAGTTTGGAAACACTCTTGTTGGAGAATCTGCAAGTGGAGATTTGGAGCACTTTGAGGCCTCTGGTACTAAAGGGAATAGCTTCATATAAAAACTAGGCAGAAACATTCTCAGAAAATACTCTTTGATGATTGAGTTTAACTCACAGAGCTGAACATTCCTTTGGATGGAGCAGGTTTTAATCACACTTTTTGTAGAATCTGCAAGTGGATATTTGGACCTCTCTGAGGATTTCGTTGGAAACGGGATAACTGCACCTAACTAAACAGAAGCATTCTCAGAAACTTCTTTGTGATGTTTGCATTCAGATCCCAGAGTTAGACCTTCCTTTGATAGTTCAGGTTTGAATCACTCTTTTTGTAGGATCTGCAAGTGGATATTTGGACCACTCTGTGGCCTTCGTTGGAAACGGGTACAACTTCACATAACATCTAGACAGAATCCTTCTCAGAAACTTCTCTGTGGTGATTGCGTTCAACTCACAGAGTTGAACGCTCCTATGGATAAAGCAGTTTTGAATCTCTCTTTTTGTGGAATCTGCAAGTGGATATGTGAACCTCTTTGAAGATGTCTTTGGAAACGGGAATATCTTCACATAAAAACTAAACAGAAGCATTCTCAGAAACTTCTCTGTGATGTTTGCGTTCAACTCACAGAGTTTCACATTGCTTTTCATAGAGCAGTTCTGAAACATGCTTTTCGGAATATCTGCAAGTGGACATTTGGAGAGCTTTCAGGCCTGTGGTGGAAAACGAATTATCGTCACATAAAAACTAGAGAGTAGCATTGTCAGGAACTTGTTTGTGATGGTTGCATTCAACTCACAGAGTTAAAGGTTCCTTTTCAACCAGCAGTTTCCAAGCACGCCTTCTGTGGAATCTGCAAGTGGATATTTGGACCTCTTTGAAGATATCATTGGAAACGGGATAATCTTCACAGAAAAGCTAAACAGAAGCATTCTCAGAAACTTCTTTGTGATGTTTGCATTCAACTCACAGAGTTGAACATTCCTTTTGAGAGACAAGCTTTGAAACACTCTTTCTCTAGAATCTGCAAGTGGATATTTGGAGGGATTTGAGGCCTGTGGTGGAAAGGGAATTATCTTCCAGTAAAAACTAGATAGAAGCATTCTCAGAAACTAATTTGTGATGATTGCATTCAAGTCACAGAGTTGAATATTCCCTTTGACAGAGCACTTTGGAAACTCTCGTTGTGTAGAATCTGCAAGTGGAGATATGGACCGCTTTGAGGCCTATGGTAGTAAAGGACGTTGCTTCATAGAAAAACTAGACAGTAGCATTCTCAGAAAACTCTTTGTGACGACTGAGTTTAACTCACAGGGCTAAACATTGCCTTGGATGGAGCAGTTTCGAAACAAACTATTTGTAGAATCTGCAAGTGGATATTTGGACCTCTCTGAGGATTTCGTTGGAAACGGGAAAACTGCACCTAACTAAACAGAAGCATTCTCAGAACCTTCTTCGTGAGGTTTGCATTCAACTCACAGTGTTGAACCTTTCTTTGATAGTTCAGGTTTGAAACACTCTTTTTGTAGAAACTGCAAGTGGATAATTGCACTTCTTTGAGGCCTATCGTAGTAAAGGAAATATCTTCATATAAAAACAAGACAGAAGCTTTCTCAGAAAATCCTCTGGGATGATTGAGTTGAACTCACAGAGCTGTACTTTCCTTGGGATGGAGCAGTTTCGAAACACACTTTCTGTAGAATCTGCAAGTGGATATTTGGACCTGTCTGAGGAATTCGTTGGAAACGTGATAATTTCAGCTAACTAAACAGAAGCAGACTCCGAATCTTCTTTGTGATGTTTGCATTCAAATCCCAGAGTTGCACTTTCCTTGGAAATTTCAGGTTTGAAACCCTCTTTTTGCAGGATCTACAAGTGGATATTTGGACCACTCTGTGGCCTTCATTCGAAACGGGTATACCTTCACATAACATCTAGACAGAAGCATTCTCAGAAACTTTTCTGTGATGACTGCATTCAACTCACAGAGTTGAACACTCCTTTTGAGAGCGCAGTTTTGAAACTCTCTTTCTGTGGAATCTGCATGGGGACATGTAGACCTCTTTGAAGGTTTCGTTGGAAACAGAATCATCTTCACAAAAAAATTACACGGAAACATTCTCAGGAACCCCTTGGTGCTGTTTGTATTCAACTTCCAGAGTTGAACATTCCTTCGGAAAGAGCAGCTACGAAACAACCTTTTTCTAGAATCTGCAAGTGGATATTTGGAGGGCTTTGAGGTTTGTGGTGGAAAAGGAAATATCTTCACATAAATACTAGATGGAAGCATTCTCAGAACCTACTTGGTGATGATTCCATTCAACTCACAGAATTGAACATTCCTATTGATAGAGCAGTTTGGAAACTCTCTTTTTGTAGAATCTGCAAGTGGAGATGTGGAGCACTTTGAGGCCTGTGGTAGTAAAGGAAATAGCTTCATATAAAAACTAGACAGAAGCATTCTCAGAAAATACTTTGTGATGATTGAGTGTAACTCACAGAGCTGAACATTCCTTTGGATGGGGCAGTTTTGAAACACACTTTTTGTAGCATCTGCAAGTGGATATTTGGACCTCTCTGAGGATTTCGTTGGAAACGGGATAACGTCACCTAACTAAACAGAAGCATTCTCAGAAACTTCTTTGTGATATTTGCATTCAAATCCCAGAGTTGAAACTTCCTTTGATAGGTCAGGTTTGAAACACTCTTTCTGTACGATCTGCAAGTGGATATTTGGACCACTCTGTGGCCTTCGTTCGAAACGGGTACATCTTCACATAACATCTAGACAGAAGCCTTCTCAGAAACTTCTCTGTGATGATTGCATTCAACTCACAGAGTTGAACCCTCCTATAGATATAGCAGTTCTGAATCTCTCTTTTTGTGGAATCTACAAGTGGATATGTGGACCTCTTTGAAGATGTCTTTGGAAACGGGAATATCTTCACATAAAAATTAAACAGAAGCATTCTCAGAAACTTCTCTGTGATGTTTGCGTTCAACTCACAGAGTTTCACATTGCTTTTCATAGAGCAGTTCTGAAACATGCTTTTCGGAATATCTGCAAGTGGACATTTGGAGAGCTTTCAGGCCTGTGGTGGAAAATGAATTATCGTCACATAAAAACTAGAGAGTAGCATTGTCAGAAACTTATTTGTGATGATTGCGTTCAACCCACAGTGTTGAAGATTCCTTTTCAAACAGCAGTTTCGACACACTCTTTCTGTGGAATCTGCAAGTGGATATTTGGACCTCTCTGAGGATTTAGTTGGAAAAGGGATAAACCTCACATAACTAAACAGAAGCATTCTCAGAACCTACTTGGTGATGATTCCATTCAACTCACAGAATTGAACATTCCTATTGATAGAGCAGTTTGGAAACTCTCTTTTTGTAGAATCTGCAAGTGGAGATGTGGAGCACTTTGAGGCCTGTGGTAGTAAAGGAAATAGCTTCATATAAAAACTAGACAGAAGAATTCTCAGAAAATACTTTGTGATGATTGAGTGTAACTCACAGAGCTGAACATTCCTTTGGATGGAGGAGTTTTGAAACACACTTTTTGTAGCATCTGCAAGTGGATATTTGGACCTCTCTGAGGATTTCGTTGGAAACGGGATAACGTCACCTAACTAAACAGAAGCAGTCTCAGAAACTTCTTTGTGATGTTTGCATTCAAATCCCAGACTTGAACCTTCCTTTGATAGTTCAGGTTTGAAACCCTCTTTTTGTAGGATCTGCCAGTGGATATTTGGACCACTTTGTGGCCTTCATTCGAAACGGGTATACCTTCACATAAAATCTAGACAGAAGCCTTCTCAGAAACTTCTCTGTGATGATTGCATTCAACTCACAGAGTTGAACCCTCCTATAGATATAGCAGTTCTGAATCTCTCTTTTTGTGGAATCTGCAAGTGGATATGTGGACCTCTTTGAAGATGTCTTTGGAAACGGGAATATCTTCACATAAAAATTAAACAGAAGCATTCTCAGAAACTTCTCTCTCATGTTTGCGTTCAACTCACACAGTTTCACATTGCTTTTCATAGAGCAGTTCTGAAACATGCTTTTCGGACTGTCTGCAAGTGGACATTTGGAGAGCTTTCAGGCCTGTGTTGGAAAATGAATTATCGTCACATAGACACTAGAGAGAAGCATTGTCAGGAACTTGTTTGTGATGGTTGCATTCAACTCACAGAGTTGAAGGTTCCTTTTCAACCAGCAGTTTCCAAGCACGCCTTCTGTGGAATCTGCAAGTGGATATTTGGACCTCTTTGAAGATATCGTTGGAAACGGGATAATCTTCACAGAAAAGCTAAACAGAAGCATTCTCAGAAACTCCTTTGTGATGTTTGCATTCAACTCACAGAGTTGAACATTCCTTTTGAGAGACAAGCTTTGAAACACTCTTTCTCTAGAATCTGCAAGTGGATATTTGGAGGGCTTTGAGGCCTGTGCTGGAAAGGGAATTCTCTTCCAGTAAAAACTAGATAGAAGCATTCTCAGAAACTACTTTGTGATGATTGCATTCAAGTCACAGAGTTGAATATTCCCTTTGACAGAGCACTTTGGAAACTCTCGCTGTGTAGAATCTGCAAGTGGAGATATGGACCGCTTTGAGGCCTATGGTAGTAAAGGAAATAGCTTCATAGAAAAACTAGACAGTAGCATTCTCAGAAAACTGTTTGTGACGACTGAGTTTAACTCACAAGGCTGAACATTCCTTTGGATGGAGCAGTTTCGAAACACACTCTTTGTAGAATCTGCAAGTGGATATTTGGGCCTCTCTGAGGATTTCATTGGAAAAGGGATAAGCCGCACAGAACTAAACAGAAGCATTCTCAGAACCTTCTTCGTGATGTTTGCATTCAACTCACAGTGTTGAACCTTTTTTGATAGTTCAGGTTTGAAACACTCTTTGTGTAGAAACTGCAAGTGGATAATTGCACTTCTTTGAGGCCTATCCTACTAAAGGAAATAACTTCTTCATATAAAATCAAGACAGAAGCTTTCTCAGAAAATCCTCTGGGATGATTGAGTTGAACTCACAGAGCTGTACTTTCCTTGGGATGGAGTAGTTTCGAAACACACTTTCTGTAGAATCTGCAAGTGGATATTTGGACCTGTCTGAGGAATTTGTTGGTAACGGGATAATTTCAGCTAACTAAACAGAAGCAGTCTCTGAATTTTCTTTGTGATGTTTGCATTCAAATCCCAGAATTGCACCTTCCTTGGAAAGTTCAGGTTTGAAACCCTCATTTTGCAGGATCTACAAGTGGATATTTGGACCACTCTGTGGCCTTCGTTCGAAACGGGTATATCTTCACATAACGTCTAGACAGAAGCATTCTCAGAAACTTTTCTGTGATGACTGCATTCAACTCACAGAGTTGAACACTCCTTTTGAGAGTGCAGTTTTGAAACTCTCTTTCTGTGGAATCTGCAAGGGGACATGTAGACCTCTTTGAAGGTTTCGTTGGAAACAGAATCATCTTCACAAAAAAATTACACGGAAGCATTCTCAGGAACCCCTTGGTGCTGATTGTATTCAACTTCCAGAGTTGAACTTTCCTTCGGAGAGAGCAGCTATGAAACACTCTTTTTCTAGAATCTGCAAGTGGATATTTGGAGGGCTTTGAGGTTTGTGGTGGAAAAGGAAATATCTTCACATAAATACTAGATGGAAGCATTCTCAGAAACTACTTTGTGATGATTGCATTCACCTCACAGAGTTGAACATTCCTATTGAGAGAGCAGTTTGGAAACACTCTTGTTGGAGAATCTGCAAGTGGAGATTTGGAGCGCTTTGAGGCCTATGGTACTAAAGGGAATAGCTTCATATAAAAACTAGGCAGAAGCATTCTCAGAAAATACTTTGTGATGATTGAGTTGAACTCACAGAGCTGAACATTCCTTTGGATGGAGCAGGTTTGAAACACACTTTTTGTAGAATCTGCAAGTGGATATTTGGACCTCTCTGAGGATTTCGTTGGAAACGGGATAACTGCACCTAACTAAACAGAAGCATTCTCAGAAACTTCTTTGTGATATTTGCATTCAAATCCCAGAGTTGAAACTTCCTTTGATAGGTCAGGTTTGAAACACTCTTTCTGTACGATCTGCAAGTGGATATTTGGACCACTCTGTGGCCTTCGTTCGAAACGGGTACATCTTCACATAACATCTAGACAGAAGCCTTCTCAGAAACTTCTCTATGATGATTGCTTTCAACTCACAGAGTTGAACCCTCCTATGGATATAGCAGTTCTGAATCTCTCTTTTTGTGGAATCTGCAAGTGGATATGTGGACCTCTTTGAAGATGTCTTTGGAAACGGGAATATCTTCACATAAAAATTAAACAGAAGCATTCTCAGAAACTTCTCTCTGATGTTTGCGTTCAACTCACACAGTTTCACATTGCTTTTCATAGAGCAGTTCTGAAACATGCTTTTCGGAGTGTCTGCAAGTGAACATTTGGAGAGCTTTCAGGCCTGTGTTGGGAAATGTATTATCGTCACATAAACACTAGAGAGAAGCATTGTCAGGAACTTGTTTGTGATGGTTGCATTCAACTCACAGAGTTAAAGGTTCCTTTTCAACCAGCAGTTTCCAAGCACGCCTTCTGTGGAATCTGCAAGTGGATATTTGGACCTCTTTGAAGATATCATTGGAAACGGGATAATCTTCACAGAAAAGCTAAACAGAAGCATTCTCAGAAACTTCTTTGTGATGTTTGCATTCAACTCACAGAGTTGAACATTCCTTTTGAGAGACAAGCTTTGAAACACTCTTTCTCTAGAATCTGCAAGTGGATATTTGGAGGGATTTGAGGCCTGTGGTGGAAAGGGAATTATCTTCCAGTAAAAACTAGATAGAAGCATTCTCGGAAACTGCTTTGTGATGATTGCATTCAAGTCACAGAGTTGAACATTCCCTTTGACAGAGCACTTTGGAAACTCTCGTTGTGTAGAATCTGCAAGTGGAGATATGGACCGCTTTGAGGCCTATGGTAGTAAAGGAAATAGCTTCATGTAAAAACTGGACAGTAGCATTCTCAGAAAACCCTTTGTGGCGACTGAGTTTAACTCACAGGGCTCAACATTCCTTTGGATGGAGAAGTTTCGAAACACACTCTTTGTAGAATCTGCAAGTGGATATTTGGGCCTCTCTGAGGATTTCGTTGGAAACGGGATAAACCGCACAGAAATAAATAGAAGCATTCTCAGAACCTTCTTCGTGATGTTTGCATTCAACTCACAGTGTTGAACCTTTTTTGATAGTTCAGGTTTGAAACACTCTTTGTGTAGAAACTGCAAGTGGATAATTGCACTTCTTTGAGGCCTATCCTACTAAAGGAAATAACTTCTTCATATAAAATCAAGACAGAAGCTTTCTCAGAAAATCCTCTGGGATGATTGAGTTGAACTCACAGAGCTGTACTTTCCTTGGGATGGAGTAGTTTCGAAACACACTTTCTGTAGAATCTGCAAGTGGATATTTGGACCTGTCTGAGGAATTTGTTGGTAACGGGATAATTTCAGCTAACTAAACAGAAGCAGTCTCTGAATTTTCTTTGTGATGTTTGCATTCAAATCCCAGAATTGCACCTTCCTTGGAAAGTTCAGGTTTGAAACCCTCATTTTGCAGGATCTACAAGTGGATATTTGGACCACTCTGTGGCCTTCGTTCGAAACGGGTATATCTTCACATAACGTCTAGACAGAAGCATTCTCAGAAACTTTTCTGTGATGACTGCATTCCACTCACAGAGTTGTACACTCCTTTTGAGAGCGCAGTTTTGAAACTCTCTTTCTGTGGAATCTGCAAGGGGACATGTAGACCTCTTTGAAGGTTTCGTTTGGAAACGGAATCATCTTCACATAAAAATTACACAGAAGCATTCTCAGGAACCCCTTGGTGCTGATTGTATTCAACTTCCAGAGTTGAACTTTCCTTCGGAGAGAGCAGCTATGAAACACTCTTTTTCTAGAATCTGCAAGTGGATATTTGGAGGGCTTTGAGGTTTGTGGTGGAAAAGGAAATATCTTCACATAAATACTAGATGGAAGCATTCTCAGAAACTACTTTGTGATGATTGCATTCACCTCACAGAGTTGAACATTCCTATTGAGAGAGCAGTTTGGAAACACTCTTGTTGGAGAATCTGCAAGTGGAGATTTGGAGCGCTTTGAGGCCTATGGTACTAAAGGGAATAGCTTCATATAAAAACTAGGCAGAAGCATTCTCAGAAAATACTTTGTGATGATTGAGTGTAACTCACAGAGCTGAACATTCCTTTGAATGGAGCAGTTTTGAAACACACTTTTTGTAGCATCTGCAAGTGGATATTTGGACCTCTCCGAGGATTTCGTTGGAAACGGGATAACGTCACCTAACTAAACAGACCCTCCCTCTTTCTCTCTCTCTCCCTCTCTCCCTCTCCGTCTCTCTCTGTCTCTTTCCAGGAAAGATACAGATTGATTCGCTTTCATATAAAGACATCAAGATAAAGGCATCCTGTTGAAATTCATAAAATTATCAGGGACCAAAGCTCCTCTCTCTTTCTGTTCAATCATACTCAGACTAGGACTTCCGCCTCAGGAACTGAAATGCCTGAATGAGCTCCAGTCATCAACTCTCTATTTCAACAAACATAAAATGCAAACATCCCAAAGAAGTTTCTGCCAATGCTTC
>NC_000017.11:26592686-26616164 GCF_000001405.40 Homo sapiens
AGCCTTCTCAGAAACTTCTCTGTGATGATTGCATTCAACTCACAGAGTTGAACCCTCCTATAGATATAGCAGTTCTGAATCTCTCTTTTTGTGGAATCTGCAAGTGGATATGTGGACCTCTTTGAAGATGTCTTTGGAAACGGGAATATCTTCACATAAAAATTAAACAGAAGCATTCTCAGAAACTTCTCTCTCATGTTTGCGTTCACCTCACAGAGTTTCACATTGCTTTTCATAGAGCAGTTCTGAAACATGCTTTTCGGACTGTCTGCAAGTGGACATTTGGAGAGCTTTCAGGCCTGTGTTGGAAAATGAATTATCGTCACATAGACACTAGAGAGAAGCATTGTCAGGAACTTGTTTGTGATGGTTGCATTCAACTCACAGAGTTGAAGGTTCCTTTTCAACCAGCAGTTTCCAAGCACGCCTTCTGTGGAATCTGCAAGTGGATATTTGGACCTCTTTGAAGATATCGTTGGAAACGGGATAATCTTCACAGAAAAGCTAAACAGAAGCATTCTCAGAAACTCCTTTGTGATGTTTGCATTCAACTCACAGAGTTGAACATTCCTTTTGAGAGACAAGCTTTGAAACACTCTTTCTCTAGAATCTGCAAGTGGATATTTGGAGGGCTTTGAGGCCTGTGGTGGAAAGGGAATTCTCTTCCAGTAAAAACTAGATAGAAGCATTCTCAGAAACTACTTTGTGATGATTGCATTCAAGTCACAGAGTTGAATATTCCCTTTGACAGAGCACTTTGGAAACTCTCGCTGTGTAGAATCTGCAAGTGGAGATATGGACCGCTTTGAGGCCTATGGTAGTAAAGGAAATAGCTTCATAGAAAAACTAGACAGTAGCATTCTCAGAAAACTGTTTGTGACGACTGAGTTTAACTCACAAGGCTGAACATTCCTTTGGATGGAGCAGTTTCGAAACACACTCTTTGTAGAATCTGCAAGTGGATATTTGGGCCTCTCTGAGGATTTCATTGGAAAAGGGATAAGCTGCACAGAACTAAACAGAAGCATTCTCAGAACCTTCTTCGTGATGTTTGCATTCAACTCACAGTGTTGAACCTTTTTTGATAGTTCAGGTTTGAAACACTCTTTGTGTAGAAACTGCAAGTGGATAATTGCACTTCTTTGAGGCCTATCCTACTAAAGGAAATAACTTCTTCATATAAAATCAAGACAGAAGCTTTCTCAGAAAATCCTCTGGGATGATTGAGTTGAACTCACAGAGCTGTACTTTCCTTGGGATGGAGTAGTTTCGAAACACACTTTCTGTAGAATCTGCAAGTGGATATTTGGACCTGTCTGAGGAATTTGTTGGTAACGGGATAATTTCAGCTAACTAAACAGAAGCAGTCTCTGAATTTTCTTTGTGATGTTTGCATTCAAATCCCAGAATTGCACCTTCCTTGGAAAGTTCAGGTTTGAAACCCTCATTTTGCAGGATCTACAAGTGGATATTTGGACCACTCTGTGGCCTTCGTTCGAAACGGGTATATCTTCACATAACGTCTAGACAGAAGCATTCTCAGAAACTTTTCTGTGATGACTGCATTCAACTCACAGAGTTGAACACTTCTTTTGAGAGCGCAGTTTTGAAACTCTCTTTCTGTGGAATCTGCAAGGGGACATGTAGACCTCTTTGAAGGTTTCGTTGGAAACAGAATCATCTTCACAAAAAAATTACACGGATGCATTCTCAGGAACTTTTTGGTGATGTTTGTATTCAACTCCCAGAGTTGAACTTTCCTTTGGAAAGAGCAGCTATGAAACACTCTTTTTCTAGAATCTGCAAGTGGACGATTGGAGGGCTTTGTGGTTTGTGGTGGAAAAGGAAATATCTTCACCTAAATACTAGAGAGAAGCATTCTCAGAAACTACTTTGTGATGATTGCATTCACCTCACAGAGTTGAACATTCCTATTGAGAGAGCAGTTTGGAAACACTCTTGTTGGAGAATCTGCAAGTGGAGATTTGGAGCGCTTTGAGGCCTATGGTACTAAAGGGAATAGCTTCATATAAAAACTAGGCAGAAGCATTCTCAGAAAATACTTTGTGATGATTGAGTTTAACTCACAGAGCTGAACATTCCTTTGGATGGAGCAGGTTTGAAACACACTTTTTGTAGAATCTACAAGTGGATATTTCGACCTCTCTGAGGATTTCGTTGGAAACGGGATAACTGCACCTAACTAAACGGAAGCATTCTCAGAAACTTCTTGGTGATGTTTGCATTCAAATCCCAGAGTTGAAACTTCCTTTGATAGGTCAGGTTTGAAACACTCTTTCTGTACGATCTGCAAGTGGATATTTGGACCACTCTGTGGCCTTCGTTCGAAACGGGTACATCTTCACATAACATCTAGACAGAAGCCTTCTCAGAAACTTCTCTGTGATGATTGCATTCAACTCACAGAGTTGAACCCTCCTATAGATATAGCAGTTCTGAATCTCTCTTTTTGTGGAATCTGCAAGTGGATATGTGGACCTCTTTGAAGATGTCTTTGGAAACGGGAATATCTTCACATAAAAATTAAACAGAAGCATTCTCAGAAACTTCTCTCTCATGTTTGCGTTCAACTCACACAGTTTCACATTGCTTTTCATAGAGCAGTTCTGAAACATGCTTTTCGGACTGTCTGCAAGTGGACATTTGGAGAGCTTTCAGGCCTGTGTTGGAAAATGAATTATCGTCACATAGACACTAGAGAGAAGCATTGTCAGGAACTTGTTTGTGATGGTTGCATTCAACTCACAGAGTTGAATGTTCCTTTTCAAACAGCAGTTTCCAAGCACGCCTTCTGTGGAATCTGCAAGTGGATATTTGGACCTCTTTGAAGATATCGTTGGAAACGGGATAATCTTCACAGAAAAGCTAAACAGAAGCATTCTCAGAAACTCCTTTGTGATGTTTGCATTCAACTCACAGAGTTGAACATTCCTTTTGAGAGACAAGCTTTGAAACACTCTTTCTCTAGAATCTGCAAGTGGATATTTGGAGGGCTTTGAGGCCTGTGCTGGAAAGGGAATTCTCTTCCAGTAAAAACTAGATAGAAGCATTCTCAGAAACTACTTTGTGATGATTGCATTCAAGTCACAGAGTTGAATATTCCCTTTGACAGAGCACTTTGGAAACTCTCGCTGTGTAGAATCTGCAAGTGGAGATATGGACCGCTTTGAGGCCTATGGTAGTAAAGGAAATAGCTTCATAGAAAAACTAGACAGTAGCATTCTCAGAAAACTGTTTGTGACGACTGAGTTTAACTCACAAGGCTGAACATTCCTTTGGATGGAGCAGTTTCGAAACACACTCTTTGTAGAATCTGCAAGTGGATATTTGGGCCTCTCTGAGGATTTCATTGGAAAAGGGATAAGCCGCACAGAACTAAACAGAAGCATTCCCAGAATCTTCTTCGTGATGTTTGCCTTCAACTCACAGTGTTGAACCTTTCTTTGATAGTTCAGGTTTGAAACACTCTTTTTGTTCAAACTTCAAGTGGATAATTGCACTTCTTTGAGGCCTATGCTAGTAAAGGAAATAACTTCATCTAAAAACAAGACAGAAGCTTTCTCAGAAAATCCTCTGGGATGATTGAGTTGAACTCACAGAGCTGTACTTTCCTTGGGATGGAGTAGTTTCGAAACACACTTTATGTAGAATCTGCAAGTGGATATTTGGACCTGTCTGAGGAATTCGTTGGAAACGGGATAATTTCAGCTAACTAAACAGAAGCAGTCTCAGAATCTTCTTTGTGATGTTTGCATTCAAATCCCAGAGTTGCACCTTCCTTGGAAAGTTCAGTTTTGAAACCCTCTTTTTCCAGGACCTACAAGTGGATATTTGGACCACTCTGTGGCCTTCGTTCGAAACGGGTATATCTTCACATAACATCTAGACAGAAGCACTCTCAGAAGCTTCTCTGTGATGACTGCATTCAACTCACGGAGTTGAACACTCCTTTTGAGAGTGCAGTTTCGAATCTCTCTTTCTGTGGAATCTGCAAGGGGACATGTAGACCTCTTTGAAGGTTTCGTTGGAAACAGAATCATCTTCACATAAAAATTACAGGGAAGCATTCTCAGGAACCCCTTGGTGCTGTTTGTATTCAACTTCCAGAGTCGAACTTTCCTTCGGAAAGAGCAGCTACGAATCACTCATTTTCCAGAATCTGCAAGTGGATATTTGGAGGGCTTTGAGGTTTGTGGTGGAAAAGGAAATATCTTCACATAAACACTAGATGGGAGCATTCTCAGAAACTACTTTCTGATGATTGCATTCACCTCACAGAGTTGAACATTCCTATTTAGAGAGCAGTTTGGAAACACTCTTGTTGGAGAATCTGCAAGTGGAGATTTGGAGCGCTTTGAGGCCTATGGTACTAAAGGGAATAGCTTCATATAAAAACTAGACAGAAGCATTCTCAGAAAATACTTTGTGATGATTGAGTTTAACTCACAGAGCTGAACATTCCTTTGGATGGAGCAGGTTTGAAACACACTTTTTGTAGAATCTGCAAGTGGATATTTGGACCTCTCTGAGGATTTCGTTGGAAACGGGATAACTGCACCTAACTAAACAGAAGCATTCTCAGAAACTTCTTTGTGATATTTGCATTCAAATCCCAGAGTTGAAACTTCCTTTGATAGGTCAGGTTTGAAACACTCTTTCTGTACGATCTGCAAGTGGATATTTGGACCACTCTGTGGCCTTCGTTGTAAACGGGTACAACTTCACATAACATCTAGACAGAAGCCTTCTCAGAAACTTCTCTGTGATGATTGCATTCAACTCACAGAGTTGAACCCTCCTATGGATATAGCAGTTCTGAATCTCTCTTTTTGTGGAATCTGCAAGTGGATATGTGGACCTCTTTGAAGATGTCTTTGGAAACGGGAATATCTTCACATAAAAATTAAACAGAAGCATTCTCAGAAACTTCTCTCTCATGTTTGCGTTCAACTCACACAGTTTCACATTGCTTTTCATAGAGCAGTTCTGAAACATGCTTTTCGGACTGTCTGCAAGTGGACATTTGGAGAGCTTTCTGGCCTGTGTTGGAAAATGAATTATCGTCACATAGACACTAGAGAGAAGCATTGTCAGGAACTTGTTTGTGATGGTTGCATTCAACTCACAGAGTTGAAGGTTCCTTTTCAAACAGCAGTTTCCAAGCACGCCTTCTGTGGAATCTGCAAGTGGATATTTGGACCTCTTTGAAGATATCGTTGGAAACGGGATAATCTTCACAGAAAAGCTAAACAGAAGCATTCTCAGAAACTCCTTTGTGATGTTTGCATTCAACTCACAGAGTTGAACATTCCTTTTGAGAGACAAGCTTTGAAACACTCTTTCTCTAGAATCTGCAAGTGGATATTTGGAGGGCTTTGAGGCCTGTGGTGGAAAGGGAATTCTCTTCCAGTAAAAACTAGATAGAAGCATTCTCAGAAACTACTTTGTGATGATTGCATTCAAGTCACAGAGTTGAATATTCCCTTTGACAGAGCACTTTGGAAACTCTCGCTGTGTAGAATCTGCAAGTGGAGATATGGACCGCTTTGAGGCCTATGGTAGTAAAGGAAATAGCTTCATAGAAAAACTAGACAGTAGCATTCTCAGAAAACTGTTTGTGACGACTGAGTTTAACTCACAAGGCTGAACATTCCTTTGGATGGAGCAGTTTCGAAACACACTCTTTGTAGAATCTGCAAGTGGATATTTGGGCCTCTCTGAGGATTTCATTGGAAAAGGGATAAGCCGCACAGAACTAAACAGAAGCATTCTCAGAACCTTCTTCGTGATGTTTGCATTCAACTCACAGTGTTGAACCTTTTTTGATAGTTCAGGTTTGAAACACTCTTTGTGTAGAAACTGCAAGTGGATAATTGCACTTCTTTGAGGCCTATCCTACTAAAGGAAATAACTTCTTCATATAAAATCAAGACAGAAGCTTTCTCAGAAAATCCTCTGGGATGATTGAGTTGAACTCACAGAGCTGTACTTTCCTTGGGATGGAGTAGTTTCGAAACACACTTTCTGTAGAATCTGCAAGTGGATATTTGGACCTGTCTGAGGAATTTGTTGGTAACGGGATAATTTCAGCTAACTAAACAGAAGCAGTCTCTGAATTTTCTTTGTGATGTTTGCATTCAAATCCCAGAATTGCACCTTCCTTGGAAAGTTCAGGTTTGAAACCCTCATTTTGCAGGATCTACAAGTGGATATTTGGACCACTCTGTGGCCTTCGTTCGAAACGGGTATATCTTCACATAACGTCTAGACAGAAGCATTCTCAGAAACTTTTCTGTGATGACTGCATTCAACTCACAGAGTTGAACACTCCTTTTGAGAGCGCAGTTTTGAAACTCTCTTTCTGTGGAATCTGCAAGGGGACATGTAGACCTCTTTGAAGGTTTCGTTGGAAACAGAATCATCTTCACAAAAAAATTACACGGAAGCATTCTCAGGAACCCCTTGGTGCTGATTGTATTCAACTTCCAGAGTTGAACTTTCCTTCGGAAAGAGCAGCTATGAAACACTCTTTTTCTAGAATCTGCAAGTGGATATTTGGAGGGCTTTGAGGTTTGTGGTGGAAAAGGAAATATCTTCACATAAATACTAGATGGAAGCATTCTCAGAAACTACTTTCTGATGATTGCATTCACCTCACAGAGTTGAACATTCCTATTTAGAGAGCAGTTTGGAAACACTCTTGTTGGAGAATCTGCAAGTGGAGATTTGGAGCGCTTTGAGGCTTATGGTACTAAAGGGAATAGCTTCATATAAAAACTAGACAGAAGCATTCTCAGAAAATACTTTGTGATGATTGAGTTTAACTCACAGAGCTGAACATTCCTTTGGATGGAGCAGGTTTGAAACACACTTTTTGTAGAATCTGCAAGTGGATATTTGGACCTCTACTGAGGATTTCGTTGGAAACGGGATAACTGCACCTAACTAAACAGAAACATTCTCAGAAACTTCTTTGTGATATTTGCATTCAAATCCCAGAGTTGAAACTTCCTTTGATAGGTCAGGTTTGAAACACTCTTTCTGTACGATCTGCAAGTGGATATTTGGACCACTCTGTGGCCTTCGTTGGAAACGGGTACATCTTCACATAACATCTAGACAGAAGCCTTCTCAGAAACTTCTCTGTGATGATTGCATTCAACTCACAGAGTTGAACCCTCCTATAGATATAGCAGTTCTGAATCTCTCTTTTTGTGGAATCTGCAAGTGGATATGTGGACCTCTTTGAAGATGTCTTTGGAAACGGGAATATCTTCACATAAAAATTAAACAGAAGCATTCTCAGAAACTTCTCTCTCATGTTTGCGTTCACCTCACAGAGTTTCACATTGCTTTTCATAGAGCAGTTCTGAAACATGCTTTTCGGACTGTCTGCAAGTGGACATTTGGAGAGCTTTCAGGCCTGTGTTGGAAAATGAATTATCGTCACATAGACACTAGAGAGAAGCATTGTCAGGAACTTGTTTGTGATGGTTGCATTCAACTCACAGTGTTGAAGGTTCCTTTTCAACCAGCAGTTTCCAAGCACGCCTTCTGTGGAATCTGCAAGTGGATATTTGGACCTCTTTGAAGATATCGTTGGAAACGGGATAATCTTCACAGAAAAGCTAAACAGAAGCATTCTCAGAAACTCCTTTGTGATGTTTGCATTCAACTCACAGAGTTGAACATTCCTTTTGAGAGACAAGCTTTGAAACACTCTTTCTCTAGAATCTGCAAGTGGATATTTGGAGGGCTTTGAGGCCTGTGCTGGAAAGGGAATTCTCTTCCAGTAAAAACTAGATAGAAGCATTCTCAGAAACTACTTTGTGATGATTGCATTCAAGTCACAGAGTTGAATATTCCCTTTGACAGAGCACTTTGGAAACTCTCGCTGTGTAGAATCTGCAAGTGGAGATATGGACCGCTTTGAGGCCTATGGTAGTAAAGGAAATAGCTTCATAGAAAAACTAGACAGTAGCATTCTCAGAAAACTGTTTGTGACGACTGAGTTTAACTCACAAGGCTGAACATTCCTTTGGATGGAGCAGTTTCGAAACACACTCTTTGTAGAATCTGCAAGTGGATATATGGGCCTCTCTGAGGATTTCATTGGAAAAGGGATAAACCGCACAGAACTAAACAGAAGCATTCTCAGAACCTTCTTCGTGATGTTTGCATTCAACTCACAGTGTTGAACCTTTTTTGATAGTTCAGGTTTGAAACACTCTTTTTGTAGAAACTGCAAGTGGATAATTGCACTTCTTTGAGGCCTATCCTACTAAAGGAAATAACTTCTTCATATAAAATCAAGACAGAAGGTTTCTCAGAAAATCCTCTGGGATGATTGAGTTGAACTCACAGAGCTGTACTTTCCTTGGGATGGAGTAGTTTCGAAACACACTTTCTGTAGAATCTGCAAGTGGATATTTGGACCTGTCTGAGGAATTTGTTGGTAACGGGATAATTTCAGCTAACTAAACAGAAGCAATCTCAGAATCTTCTTTGTGATGTTTGCATTCGAATCCCAGAATTGAACCTTCCTTTGAAAGTTCAGGTTTGAAACTCTCTTTTTGCAGTATCTACAAGTGGATATTTGGACCACTCTGTGGCCTTCGTTCGAAACGGGTATATCTTCACATAACATCTAGACAGAAGCATTCTCAGAAACTTTTCTGTGATGACTGCATTCAACTCACAGAGTTGAACACTCCTTTTGAGAGCGCAGTTTTGAAACTCTCTTTCTGTGGAATCTGCAAGGGGACATGTAGACCTCTTTGAAGGTTTTGTTGGAAACAGAATCATCTTCACATAAAAATTACACAGAAGCATTCTCAGGAACCCCTTGGTGCTGATTGTATTCAACTTCCAGAGTTGAACTTTCCTTCGGAAAGAGCAGCTATGAAACACTCTTTTTCTAGAATCTGCAAGTGGATATTTGGAGGGCTTTGAGGTTTGTGGTGGAAAAGGAAATATCTTCACATAAATACTAGATGGAAGCATTCTCAGAAACTACTTTGTGATGATTGCATTCACCTCACAGAGTTGAACATTCCTATTGAGAGAGCAGTTTGGAAACACTCTTGTTGGAGAATCTGCAAGTGGAGATTTGGAGCGCTTTGAGGCCTATGGTACTAAAGGGAATAGCTTCATATAAAAACTAGGCAGAAGCATTCTCAGAAAATACTTTGTGATGATTGAGTGTAACTCACAGAGCTGAACATTCCTTTGGATGGAGCAGTTTTGAAACACACTTTTTGTAGCATCTGCAAGTGGATATTTGGACCTCTCTGAGGATTTCGTTGGAAACGGGATAACGTCACCTAACTAAACAGAAGCATTCTCAGAAACTTCTTTGTGATGTTTGCATTCAGATCCCAGTGTTAGACCTTCCTTTGATAGTTCAGGTTTGAATCACTCTTTTTGTAGGATCTGCAAGTGGATATTTGGACCACTCTGTGGCCTTCGTTGGAAACGGGTACAACTTCACATAACATTTAGACAGAAGCCTTCTCAGAAACTTCTCTTTGATGATTGCATTCAACTCACAGAGTTGAACCCTCCTATAGATATAGCAGTTCTGAATCTCTCTTTTTGTGGAATCTGCAAGTGGATATGTGGACCTCTTTGAAGATGTCTTTGGAAACGGGAATATCTTCACATAAAAATTAAACAGAAGCATTCTCAGAAACTTCTCTCTCATGTTTGCGTTCAACTCACACAGTTTCACATTGCTTTTCATAGAGCAGTTCTGAAACATGCTTTTCGGACTGTCTGCAAGTGGACATTTGGAGAGCTTTCAGGCCTGTGTTGGAAAATGAATTATCGTCACATAGACACTAGAGAGAAGCATTGTCAGGAACTTGTTTGTGATGGTTGCATTCAACTCACAGAGTTGAAGGTTCCTTTTCAACCAGCAGTTTCCAAGCACGCCTTCTGTGGAATCTGCAAGTGGATATTTGGACCTCTTTGAAGATATCGTTGGAAACGGGATAATCTTCACAGAAAAGCTAAACAGAAGCATTCTCAGAAACTCCTTTGTGATGTTTGCATTCAACTCACAGAGTTGAACATTCCTTTTGAGAGACAAGCTTTGAAACACTCTTTCTCTAGAATCTGCAAGTGGATATTTGGAGGGCTTTGAGGCCTGTGGTGGAAAGGGAATTCTCTTCCAGTAAAAACTAGATAGAAGCATTCTCAGAAACTACTTTGTGATGATTGCATTCAAGTCACAGAGTTGAATATTCCCTTTGACAGAGCACTTTGGAAACTCTCGCTGTGTAGAATCTGCAAGTGGAGATATGGACCGCTTTGAGGCCTATGGTAGTAAAGGAAATAGCTTCATAGAAAAACTAGACAGTAGCATTCTCAGAAAACTCTTTGTGACGACTGAGTTTAACTGACAGGGCTGAAGATTCCTTTGGATGGAGCATTTTCGAAACACACTCTTTGTAGAATCTGCAAGTGGATATTTGGGCATCTCTGAGGATTTCGTTGGAAACGGGATAAACTGCACAGAACTATACAGAAGCATTCTCAGAACCTTCTTCGTGAGGTTTGCATTCAACTCACAGTGTTGAACCTTTCTTTGATAGTTCAGGTTTGAAACACTCTTTTTGTAGAAACTGCAAGTGGATAATTGCACTTCTTTGAGGCCTATCGTCGTAAAGGAAATATCTTCATATAAAAACAAGACAGAAGCTTTCTCAGAAAAACCTCTGGGATGATTGAGTTGAACTCACAGAGCTGTACTTTCCTTGGGATGGAGTAGTTTCGAAACACACTTTCTGTAGAATCTGCAAGTGGATATTTGGACCTGTCTGAGGAATTCGTTGGAAACGGGATAACTTCAGCTAACTAAACAGAAGCAGTCTCTGAATTTTCTTTGTGATGTTTGCATTCAAATCCCAGAATTGCACATTCCTTGGAAAGTTCAGGTTTGAAACCCTCATTTTGCAGGATCTACAAGTGGATATTTGGACCACTCTGTGGCCTTCGTTCGAAACGGGTATATCTTCACATAACGTCTAGACAGAAGCATTCTCAGAAGCTTCTCTGTGATGACTGCATTCAACTCACGGAGTTGAACACTCCTTTTGAGAGCGCAGTTTTGAAACTCTCTTTCTGTGGCATCTGCAAGGGGACATGTAGACCTCTTTGAAGATTTCGTTGGAAACGGAATCATCTTCACATAAAAACTATACAGATGCATTCTCAGGAACTTTTTGGTGATGTTTGTATTCAACTCCCAGAGTTGAACTTTCCTTTGGAAAGAGCAGCTATGAAACACTCTTTTTCTAGAATCTGCAAGTGGACGATTGGAGGGCTTTGTGGTTTGTGGTGGAAAAGGAAATATCTTCACCTAAATACTAGAGAGAAGCATTCTCAGAAACTGCTTTGTGATGATTGCATTCACCTCACAGAGTTGACCATTCCTATTGATAGAGCAGTTTGGAAACACTCTTGTTGTGGAATGTGCAAGTGGAGATTTGGAGTGCTTTGAGGCCTATGGTAGTAAAGGGAATAGCTTCATAGAAAAACTAGACAGAAGCATTCTCAGAAAATACTTTGTGATGATTGAGTTTAACTCACAGAGCTGAACATTCCTTTGGATGGAGCAGGTTTGAATCACACTTTTTGTAGAATCTGCAAGTGGATATTTGGACCTCTCTGAGGATTTCGTTGGAAACGGGATAACTGCACCTAACTAAACGGAAGCATTCTCAGAAACTTCTTTGTGATATTTGCATTCAAATCCCAGAGTTGAAACTTCCTTTGATAGGTCAGGTTTGAAACACTCTTTCTGTACGATCTGCAAGTGGATATTTGGACCACTCTGTGGCCTTCGTTCGAAACGGGTACATCTTCACATAACATCTAGACAGAAGCCTTCTCAGAAACTTCTCTGTGATGATTGCATTCAACTCACAGAGTTGAACCCTCCTATGGATATAGCAGTTCTGAATCTCTCTTTTTGTGGAATCTGCAAGTGGATATGTGGACCTCTTTGAAGATGTCTTTGGAAACGGGAATATCTTCACATAAAAATTAAACAGAAGCATTCTCAGAAACTTCTCTCTCATGTTTGCGTTCAACTCACACAGTTTCACATTGCTTTTCATAGAGCAGTTCTGAAACATGCTTTTCGGACTGTCTGCAAGTGGACATTTGGAGAGCTTTCAGGCCTGTGTTGGAAAATGAATTATCGTCACATAGACACTAGAGAGAAGCATTGTCAGGAACTTGTTTGTGATGGTTGCATTCAACTCACAGTGTTGAAGGTTCCTTTTCAACCAGCAGTTTCCAAGCACGCCTTCTGTGGAATCTGCAAGTGGATATTTGGACCTCTTTGAAGATATCGTTGGAAACGGGATAATCTTCACAGAAAAGCTAAACAGAAGCATTCTCAGAAACTTCTTTGTGATGTTTGCATTCAACTCACAGAGTTGAACATTCCTTTTGAGAGACAAGCTTTGAAACACTCTTTCTCTAGAATCTGCAAGTGGATATTTGGAGGGCTTTGAGGCCTGTGGTGGAAAGGGAATTCTCTTCCAGTAAAAACTAGATAGAAGCATTCTCAGAAACTACTTTGTGATGATTGCATTCAAGTCACAGAGTTGAATATTCCCTTTGACAGAGCACTTTGGAAACTCTCGCTGTGTAGAATCTGCAAGTGGAGATATGGACCGCTTTGAGGCCTATGGTAGTAAAGGAAATAGCTTCATAGAAAAACTAGACAGTAGCATTCTCAGAAAACTGTTTGTGACGACTGAGTTTAACTCACAAGGCTGAACATTCCTTTGGATGGAGCAGTTTCGAAACACACTCTTTGTAGAATCTGCAAGTGGATATTTGGGCCTCTCTGAGGATTTCATTGGAAAAGGGATAAACCGCACAGAACTAAACAGAAGCATTCTCAGAACCTTCTTCGTGAGGTTTGCATTCAACTCACAGTGTTGAACCTTTTTTGATAGTTCAGGTTTGAAACACTCTTTTTGTAGAAACTGCAAGTGGATAATTGCACTTCTTTGAGGCCTATCCTACTAAAGGAAATAACTTCTTCATATAAAATCAAGACAGAAGCTTTCTCAGAAAATCCTCTGGGATGATTGAGTTGAACTCACAGAGCTGTACTTTCCTTGGGATGGAGTAGTTTCGAAACACACTTTCTGTAGAATCTGCAAGTGGATTTTTGGACCTGTCTGAGGAATTTGTTGGTAACGGGATAATTTCAGCTAACTAAACAGAAGCAGTCTCTGAATTTTCTTTGTGATGTTTGCATTCAAATCCCAGAATTGCACATTCCTTGGAAAGTTCAGGTTTGAAACCCTCATTTTGCAGGATCTACAAGTGGATATTTGGACCACTCTGTGGCCTTCGTTCGAAACGGGTATATCTTCACATAACGTCTAGACAGAAGCATTCTCAGAAACTTTTCTGTGATGACTGCATTCAACTCACAGAGTTGAAGACTCCTTTTGAGAGCGCAGTTTTGAAACTCTCTTTCTGTGGAATCTGCAAGGGGACATGTAGACCTCTTTGAAGGTTTTGTTGGAAACAGAATCATCTTCACATAAAAATTACACAGAAGCGTTCTCAGGAACTCCTTGATGTTGTTTGTATTCAACTTCCAGAGTTGAACTTTCCTTCGGAAAGAGCAGCTATGAAACACTCTTTTTCTAGAATCTGCAAGTGGATATTTGGAGGGCTTTGAGGTTTGTGGTGGAAAAGGAAATATCTTCACATAAATACTAGATGGAAGCATTCTCAGAAACTAACTTTGTGATGATTGCATTCACCTCACAGAGTTGAACATTCCTATTGAGAGAGCAGTTTGGAAACACTCTTGTTGGAGAATCTGAAAGTGGAGATTTGGAGCGCTTTGAGGCCTATGGTACTAAAGGGAATAGCTTCATATAAAAACTAGGCAGAAACATTCTCAGAAAATACTTTTTGATGATTGAGTTTAACTCACAGAGCTGAACATTCCTTTGGATGGAGCAGGTTTGAATCACACTTTTTGTAGAATCTGCAAGTGGATATTTGGACCTCTCTGAGGATTTCGTTGGAAACGGGATAACTGCACCTAACTAAACAGAAGCATTCTCAGAAACTTCTTTGTGATGTTTGCATTCAAATCCCAGAGTTGATCCTTCCTTTGATAGGTCAGGTTTGAAACACTCTTTTTTTACGATCTGCAAGTGGATATTTGGACCACTCTGTGGCCTTCGTTGGAAACGGGTACATCTTCACATTACATCTAGACAGAAGCCTTCTCAGAAACTTCTCTGTGATGATTGCATTCAACTCACAGAGTTGAACCCTCCTATGGATATAGCAGTTCTGAATCTCTCTTTTTGTGGAATCTGCAAGTGGATATGTGGACCTCTTTGAAGATGTCTTTGGAAACGGGAATATACTTCACATAAAAATTAAACAGAAGCATTCTCAGAAACTTCTCTGTCATGTTTGCATTCACCTCACAGAGTTTCACATTGCTTTTCATAGAGCAGTTCTGGAACATGCTTTTCGGAGTGTCTGCAAGTGGACATTTGGAGAGCCTTCTGGCCTGTGTTGGAAAACGAATTATCGTCACATAAAAACTAGAGAGAAGCATTGTCAGGAACTTGTTTGTGATGGTTGCATTCAACTCACAGAGTTGAAGGTTCCTTTTCAAACAGCAGTTTCCAAGCACGCCTTCTGTGGAATCTGCAAGTGGATATTTGGACCTCTTTGAAGATATCGTTGGAAACGGGATAATCTTCACAGAAAAGCTAAACAGAAGCATGCTCAGGATCTCCTTGGTGATGTTTGTATTCAACTTCCAGAGTTGAACTTTCCTTCGGAAAGAACAGCTATGAAACACTCTTTTTCTAGAATCTGCAAGTGGACATTTGGAGGGCTTTGAGGTTTGTGGTGGAAAAAGAAATATCTTCACATAAATAGTAGATAGAAGCATTCTCAGAAACTACTTTGTGATGATTGCATTCACCTCACAGAGTTGAACATTCCCTTTGACAGAGCACTTTGGAAACTCTCGTTGTGTAGCGTCTGCAAGTTGAGATATGGACCGCTTTGAGGCCTATGGTAGTAAAGGAAATAGCTTCATATAAAAACTAGACAGTAGCATTCTCAGAAAACTGTTTGTGACGACTGAGTTTAACTCACAAGGCTGAACATTCCTTTGGATGGAGCAGTTTCGAAACACACTCTTTGTAGAATCTGCAAGTGGATATTTGGGCCTCTCTGAGGATTTCATTGGAAAAGGGATAAACCGCACAGAACTAAACAGAAGCATTCTCAGAACCTTCTTCGTGATGTTTGCATTCAACTCACAGTGTTGAACCTTTTTTGATAGTTCAGGTTTGAAACACTCTTTGTGTAGAAACTGCAAGTGGATAATTGCACTTCTTTGAGGCCTATCCTACTAAAGGAAATAACTTCTTCATATAAAATCAAGACAGAAGCTTTCTCAGAAAATCCTCTGGGATGATTGAGTGGAACTCACAGAGCTGTACTTTCCTTGGGATGGAGTAGTTTCGAAACACACTTTCTGTAAAATCTGCAAGTGGATATTTGGACCTGTCTGAGGAATTTGTTGGTAACGGGATAATTTCAGCTAACTAAACAGAAGCAGTCTCTGAATTTTCTTTGTGATGTTTGCATTCAAATCCCAGAATTGCACATTCCTTGGAAAGTTCAGGTTTGAAACCCTCATTTTGCAGGATCTACAAGTGGATATTTGGACCACTCTGTGGCCTTCGATCGAAACGGGTATATCTTCACATAACGTCTAGACAGAAGCATTCTCAGAAACTTTTCTGTGATGACTGCATTCAACTCACAGAGTTGAACACTCCTTTTGAGAGCGCAGTTTTGAAACTCTCTTTCTGTGGAATCTGCAAGGGGACATGTAGACCTCTTTGAAGGTTTCGTTGGAAACAGAATCATCTTCACAAAAAAATTACACGGAAGCATTCTCAGGAACCCCTTGGTGCTGATTGTATTCAACTTCCAGAGTTGAACTTTCCTTCGGAAAGAGCAGCTATGAAACACTCTTTTTCTAGAATCTGCAAGTGGATATTTGGAGGGCTTTGAGGTTTGTGGTGGAAAAGGAAATATCTTCACATAAATACTAGATGGAAGCATTCTCAGAAACTATTTTGTGATGATTGCATTCACCTCACAGAGTTGAACATTCCTATTGAGAGAGCAGTTTGGAAACACTCTTGTTGGAGAATCTGCAAGTGGAGATTTGGAGCGCTTTGAGGCCAATGGTACTAAAGGGAATAGCTTCATATAAAAACTAGGCAGAAGCATTCTCAGAAAATACTTTGTGATGATTGAGTTTAACTCACAGAGCTGAACATTCCTTTGGATGGAGCAGGTTTGAAACACACTTTTTGTAGAATCTGCAAGTGGATATTTGGACCTCTCTGAGGATTTCGTTGGAAACGGGATAACTGCACCTAACTAAACAGAAGCATTCTCAGAAACTTCTTTGTGATGTTTGCATTCAACTCCCAGAGTTGAACCTTCCTTTGATAGGTCAGGTTTGAAACACTCTTTCTGTACGTTCTGCAAGTGGATATTTGGACCACTCTGTGGCCTTCGTTCGAATCGGGTACATCTTCACATAACATCTAGATAGAAGCCTTCTCAGAAACTTCTCTGTGATGATTGCATTCAACTCACAGAGTTGAACCCTCCTATGGATAGAGCAGTTTTGAATCTCTCATTTTGTGGAATCTGCAAGTGGATATGTGGACCTCTTTGAAGATGTCTTTGGAAACGGGAATATCTTCACATAAAACCTAAAGAGAAGCATTCTCAGAAACTTCTCTCTCATGTTTGCGTTCAACTCACACAGTTTCACATTGCTTTTCATAGAGCAGTTCTGAAACATGCTTTTCGGACTGTCTGCAAGTGGACATTTGGAGAGCTTTCTGGCCTGTGTTGGAAAATGAATTATCGTCACATAGACACTAGAGAGAAGCATTGTCAGGAACTTGATTGTGATGGTTGCATTCAACTCACAGAGTTAAAGGTTCCTTTTCAACCAGCAGTTTCCAAGCACGCCTTCTGTGGAATCTGCAAGTGGATATTTGGACCTCTTTGAAGATATCATTGGAAACGGGATAATCTTCACAGAAAAGCTAAACAGAAGCATTCTCAGAAACTCCTTTGTGATGTTTGCATTCAACTCACAGAGTTGAACATTCCTTTTGAGAGACAAGCTTTGAAACACTCTTTCTCTAGAATCTGCAAGTGGATATTTGGAGGGCTTTGAGGCCTGTGGTGGAAAGGGAATTCTCTTCCAGTAAAAACTAGATAGAAGCATTCTCAGAAACTACTTTGTGATGATTGCATTCAAGTCACAGAGTTGAATATTCCCTTTGACAGAGCACTTTGGAAACTCTCGCTGTGTAGAATCTGCAAGTGGAGATATGGACCGCTTTGAGGCCTATGGTAGTAAAGGAAATAGCTTCATAGAAAAACTAGACAGTAGCATTCTCAGAAAACTGTTTGTGACGACTGAGTTTAACTCACAAGGCTGAACATTCCTTTGGATGGAGCAGTTTTGAAACACACTCTTTGTAGAATCTGCAAGTGGATATTTGGACCTCTCTGAGGATTTCATTGGAAAAGGGATAAACCGCACAGAACTAAACAGAAGCATTCTCAGAACCTTCTTCGTGATGTTTGCATTCAACTCACAGTGTTGAACCTTTTTTGATAGTTCAGGTTTGAAACACTCTTTGTGTAGAAACTGCAAGTGGATAATTGCACTTCTTTGAGGCCTATCCTACTAAAGGAAATAACTTCTTCATATAAAATCAAGACAGAAGCTTTCTCAGAAAATCCTCTGGGATGATTGAGTTGAACTCACAGAGCTGTACTTTCCTTGGGATGGAGTAGTTTCGAAACACACTTTCTGTAGAATCTGCAAGTGGATATTTGGACCTGTCTGAGGAATTTGTTGGTAACGGGATAATTTCAGCTAACTAAACAGAAGCAATCTCCGAATCTTCTTTGTGATGTTTGCATTCGAATCCCAGAATTGAACCTTCCTTTGAAAGTTCAGGTTTGAAACTCTCTTTTTGCAGTATCTACAAGTGGATATTTGGACCACTCTGTGGCCTTCGTTCGAAACGGGTATATCTTCACATAACATCTAGACAGAAGCATTCTCAGAAACTTTTCTGTGATGACTGCATTCAACTCACGGAGTTGAAGACTCCTTTTGAGAGCGCAGTTTTGAAACTCTCTTTGTGTGGAATCTGCAAGGGGACATGTAGACCTCTTTGAAGGTTTTGTTGGAAACAGAATCATCTTCACATAAAAATTACACAGAAGCATTCTCAGGAACCCCTTGGTGCTGATTGTATTCAACTTCCAGAGTTGAACTTTCCTTCGGAGAGAGCAGCTATGAAACACTCTTTTTCTAGAATCTGCAAGTGGATATTTGGAGGGCTTTGAGGTTTGTGGTGGAAAAGGAAATATCTTCACATAAATACTAGATGGAAGCATTCTCAGAAACTACTTTGTGATGATTGCATTCACCTCACAGAGTTGAACATTCCTATTGAGAGAGCAGTTTGGAAACACTCTTGTTGGAAAATCTGCAAGTGGAGATTTGGAGCACTTTGAGGCCTATGGTACTAAAGGGAATAGCTTCATATAAAAACTAGGCAGAAGCATTCTCAGAAAATTCTTTTTGACGATTGAGTTTAACTCACAGAGCTGAACATTCCTTTGGATGGAGCTGTTTTGAAACACACCTTTTGTAGAATCTGCAAGTGGATATTTGGACCTCTCTGAGGATTTCGTTGGAAACGGGATAACTTCACCTAACTAAACAGAAGCATTCTCAGAAACTTCTTTGAGAGGTTTGCATTCAAATCCCAGAGTTGATCCTTCCTTTGATAGGTCAGGTTTGAAACACTCTTTCTGTACGATCTGCAAGTGGATATTTGGACCACTCTGTGGCCTTCGTTGGAAACGGGTACATCTTCACATTACATCTAGACAGAAGCCTTCTCAGAAACTTCTCTATGATGATTGCTTTCAACTCACAGAGTTGAACCCTCCTATGGATATAGCAGTTCTGAATCTCTCTTTTTGTGGAATCTGCAAGTGGATATGTGGACCTCTTTGAAGATGTCTTTGGAAACGGGAATATCTTCACATAAAAATTAAACAGAAGCATTCTCAGAAACTTCTCTCTGATGTTTGCGTTCAACTCACACAGTTTCACATTGCTTTTCATAGAGCAGTTCTGAAACATGCTTTTCGGAGTGTCTGCAAGTGAACATTTGGAGAGCTTTCAGGCCTGTGTTGGGAAATGTATTATCGTCACATAAACACTAGAGAGAAGCATTGTCAGGAACTTGTTTGTGATGGTTGCATTCAACTCACAGAGTTAAAGGTTCCTTTTCAACCAGCAGTTTCCAAGCACGCCTTCTGTGGAATCTGCAAGTGGATATTTGGACCTCTTTGAAGATATCGTTGGAAACGGGATAATCTTCACAGAAAAGCTAAACAGAAGCATTCTCAGAAACTTCTTTGTGATGTTTGCATTCAACTCACAGAGTTGAACATTCCTTTTGAGAGACAAGCTTTGAAACACTCTTTCTCTAGAATCTGCAAGTGGATATTTGGAGGGCTTTGAGGCCTGTGGTGGAAAGGGAATTATCTTCCAGTAAAAACTAGATAGAAGCATTCTCAGAAACTACTTTGTGATGATTGCATTCAAGTCACAGAGTTGAATATTCCCTTTGACAGAGCACTTTGGAAACTCTCGTTGTGTAGAATCTGCAAGTGGAGATATGGACCGCTTTGAGGCCTATGGTAGTAAAGGAAGTTGCTTCATAGAAAAACTAGACAGTAGCATTCTCAGAAAACTGTTTGTGACGACTGAGTTTAACTCACAAGGCTGAACATTCCTTTGGATGGAGCAGTTTCGAAACACACTCTTTGTAGAATCTGCAAGTGGATATTTGGGCCTCTCTGAGGATTTCATTGGAAAAGGGATAAACCGCACAGAACTAAACAGAAGCATTCTCAGAACCTTCTTCGTGAGGTTTGCATTCAACTCACAGTGTTGAACCTTTCTTTGATAGTTCAGGTTTGAAACACTCTTTTTGTAGAAACTGCAAGTGGATAATTGCACTTCTTTGAAGCCTATCGTAGTAAAGGAAATATCTTCATATAAAAACAAGACAGAAGCTTTCTCAGAAAATCCTCTGGGATGATTGAGTTGAACTCACAGAGCTGTACTTTCCTTGGGATGGAGCAGTTTCGAAACACACTTTCTGTAGAATCTGCAAGTGGATATTTGGACCTGTCTGAGGAATTCGTTGGAAACGGGATAATTTCAGCTAACTAAACAGAAGCAGTCTCTGAATTTTCTTTGTGATGTTTGCATTCAAATCCCAGAATTGCACCTTCCTTGGAAAGTTCAGGTTTGAAACCCTCATTTTGCAGGATCTACAAGTGGATATTTGGACCACTCTGTGGCCTTCGTTCGAAACGGGTATATCTTCACATAACATCTAGACAGAAGCATTCTCAGAAACTTTTCTGTGATGACTGCATTCAACTCACAGAGTTGAACACTCCTTTTGAGAGCGCAGTTTTGAAACTCTCTTTCTGTGGAATCTGCAAGGGGACATGTAGACCTCTTTGAAGGTTTCGTTGGAAACAGAATCATCTTCACATAAAAATTACACGGAAGCATGCTCAGGATCTCCTTGGTGATGTTTGTATTCAACTTCCAGAGTTGAACTTTCTTTCGGAAAAAACAGCTATGAAACACTCTTTTTCTAGAATCTGCAAGTGGATATTTGGAGGGCTTTGAGGTTTGTGGTGGAAAAAGAAATATCTTCACATAAATAGTAGATAGAAGCATTCTCAGAAACTACTTTGTGATGATTGCATTCACCTCACAGAGTTGAACATTCCTATTGAGAGAGCAGTTTGGAAACACTCTTTTTGGAGAATCTGCAAGTGGAGATTTGGAGCGCTTTGAGGCCTATGGTACTAAAGGGAATAGCTTCATATAAAAACTAGGCAGAAGCATTCTCAGAAAATACTTTGTGATGATTGAGTTTAACTCACAGAGCTGAACATTCCTTTGGATGGAGCAGGTTTGAATCACACTTTTTGTAGAATCTGCAAGTGGATATTTGGACCTCTCTGAGGATTTCGTTGGAAACGGGATAACTGCACCTAACTAAACAGAAGCATTCTCAGAAACTTCTTTGTGATATTTACATTCAAATCCCAGAGTTGAAACTTCCTTTGATAGGTCAGGTTTGAAACACTCTTTCTGTACGATCTGCAAGTGGATATTTGGACCACTCTGTGGCGTTCGTTCGAAACGGGTACATCTTCACATAACATCTAGACAGAAGCCTTCTCAGAAACTTCTCTGTGATGATTGCATTCAACTCACAGAGTTGAACCCTCCTATAGATATAGCAGTTCTGAATCTCTCTTTTTGTGGAATCTGCAAGTGGATATGTGGACCTCTTTGAAGATGTCTTTGGAAACGGGAATATCTTCACATAAAAATTAAACAGAAGCATTCTCAGAAACTTCTCTGTGATGTTTGTGTTCAACTCACACAGTTTCACATTGCTTTTCATAGAGCAGTTCTGAAACATGCTTTTCGGACTGTCTGCAAGTGGACATTTGGAGAGCTTTCAGGCCTGTGTTGGAAAATGAATTATCGTCACATAGACACTAGAGAGAAGCATTGTCAGGAACTTGTTTGTGATGGTTGCATTCAACTCACAGAGTTGAAGGTTCCTTTTCAACCAGCAGTTTCCAAGCACGCCTTCTGTGGAATCTGCAAGTGGATATTTGGACCTCTTTGAAGATATCATTGGAAACGGGATAATCTTCACAGAAAAGCTAAACAGAAGCATTCTCAGAAACTTCTTTGTGATGTTTGCATTCAACTCACAGAGTTGAACTTTCCTGTTGAGAGAGAAGCTGTGAAACATTCTTTCTCTAGACTCTGCAAGTGGATATTTGGAGGGCTTTGAGGCCTGTGGTGGAAAGGGAATTATCTTCCCGTAAAAACTAGATAGAAGCATTCTCAGAAACTACTTGGTGATGATTGCATTCAAGTCACAGAGTTGAACATTCCCTTTGACAGAACACTTTGGAAACTCTGGTTGTGTAGAATCTGCAAGTGGAGATATGGACCGCTTTGAGGCCTATGGTAGTAAAGGAAATGGCTTCATATAAAAACTAGACAGTAGCATTCTCAGAAAACTCTTTGTGACGACTGAGTTTAACTCACAGGGCTGAACATTCCTTTGGATGGAGCAGTTTCGAAACACACTACTTGTAGAATCTGCCAGTGGATATTTGGGCCTCTCTGAGGATTTCGCTGGAAACGGGATAAACCGCACAGAAATAAACAGAAGCATTCTCAGAACCTTCTTCGTGAGGTTTGCATTCAACTCACAGTGTTGAACCTTTCTTTGATAGTTCAGGTTTGAAACACTCTTTTTGTAGAAACTGCAAGTGGATAATTGCACTTCTTTGAGGC
This sequence comes from Homo sapiens, assembly GCF_000001405.40. Classification (NCBI taxonomy): domain Eukaryota; kingdom Metazoa; phylum Chordata; class Mammalia; order Primates; family Hominidae; genus Homo; species Homo sapiens. The sequence continues at coordinate 26,615,272 of NC_000017.11, forward strand.
CTATCGTAGTAAAGGAAATATCTTCATATAAAAACAAGACAGAAGGTTTCTCAGAAAATCCTCTGGGATGATTGAGTTGAACTCACAGAGCTGTACTTTCCTTGGGATGGAGTAGTTTCGAAACACACTTTCTGTAGAATCTGCAAGTGGATATTTGGACCTGTCTGAGGAATTTGTTGGTAACGGGATAATTTCAGCTAACTAAACAGAAGCAGTCTCTGAATTTTCTTTGTGATGTTTGCATTCAAATCCCAGAATTGCACCTTCCTTGGAAAGTTCAGGTTTGAAACCCTCATTTTGCAGGATCTACAAGTGGATATTTGGACCACTCTGTGGCCTTCGTTCGAAACGGGTATATCTTCACATAACGTCTAGACAGAAGCATTCTCAGAAACTTTTCTGTGATGACTGCATTCAACTCACAGAGTTGAACACTCCTTTTGAGAGCGCAGTTTTGAAACTCTCTTTCTGTGGAATCTGCAAGGGGACATGTAGACCTCTTTGAAGGTTTCGTTGGAAACAGAATCATCTTCACAAAAAAATTACACGGAAGCGTTCTCAGGAACTCCTTGATGTTGTTTGTATTCAACTTCCAGAGTTGAACTTTCCTTCGGAAAGAGCAGCTATGAAACACTCTTTTTCTAGAATCTGCAAGTGGACATGAGGAGGGCTTTGAGGTCTGTGGTGGAAAAGGTAATATCTTCACATAAATATTAGATAGAAGCATTCTCAGAAACTACTTTGTGATGATTGCATTCACCTCACAGAGTTGAACATTCCTATTGATAGAGCAGTTTGGAAACTTTCTTGTTGTAGAATTTGCAAGGGGAGATTTGGCGCGCTTTGAGGCCAATGGTAGTAAAGGGAATAGCTTCATATAAAAACTAGACAGA
>NC_000017.11:26616264-26627010 GCF_000001405.40 Homo sapiens
CGTCTAGACAGAAGCATTCTCAGAAACTTTTCTGTGATGACTGCATTCAACTCACAGAGTTGAACACTCCTTTTGAGAGCGCAGTTTTGAAACTCTCTTTCTGTGGAATCTGCAAGGGGACATGTAGACCTCTTTGAAGGTTTCGTTGGAAACAGAATCATCTTCACAAAAAAATTACACGGAAGCATTCTCAGGAACCCCTTGGTGCTGATTGTATTCAACTTCCAGAGTTGAACTTTCCTTCGGAGAGAGCAGCTATGAAACACTCTTTTTCGAGAATCTGCAAGTGGATATTTGGAGGGCTTTGAGGTTTGTGGTGGAAAAGGAAATATCTTCACATAAATACTAGATGGAAGCATTCTCAGAAACTACTTTGTGATGATTGCATTCACCTCACAGAGTTGAACATTCCTATTGAGAGAGCAGTTTGGAAACACTCTTGTTGGAGAATCTGCAAGTGGAGATTTGGAGCGCTTTGAGGCCTATGGTACTAAAGGGAATAGCTTCATATAAAAACTAGGCAGAAGCATTCTCAGAAAATACTTTGTGATGATTGAGTTGAACTCACAGAGCTGAACATTCCTTTGGATGGAGCAGGTTTGAAACACACTTTTTGTAGAATCTGCAAGTGGATATTTGGACCTCTCTGAGGATTTCGTTGGAAACGGGATAACTGCACCTAACTAAACAGAAGCATTCTCAGAAACTTCTTTGTGATATTTGCATTCAAATCCCAGAGTTGAAACTTCCTTTGATAGGTCAGGTTTGAAACACTCTTTCTGTACGATCTGCAAGTGGATATTTGGACCACTCTGTGGCCTTCGTTCGAAACGGGTACATCTTCACATAACATCTAGACAGAAGCCTTCTCAGAAACTTCTCTGTGATGATTGCATTCAACTCACAGAGTTGAACCCTCCTATAGATATAGCAGTTCTGAATCTCTCTTTTTGTGGAATCTGCAAGTGGATATGTGGACCTCTTTGAAGATGTCTTTGGAAACGGGAATATCTTCACATAAAAATTAAACAGAAGCATTCTCAGAAACTTCTCTCTCATGTTTGCGTTCACCTCACACAGTTTCACATTGCTTTTCATAGAGCAGTTCTGAAACATGCTTTTCGGACTGTCTGCAAGTGGACATTTGGAGAGCTTTCAGGCCTGTGTTGGAAAATGAATTATCGTCACATAGACACTAGAGAGAAGCATTGTCAGGAACTTGTTTGTGATGGTTGCATTCAACTCACAGAGTTGAAGGTTCCTTTTCAACCAGCAGTTTCCAAGCACGCCTTCTGTGGAATCTGCAAGTGGATATTTGGACCTCTTTGAAGATATCGTTGGAAACGGGATAATCTTCACAGAAAAGCTAAACAGAAGCATTCTCAGAAACTCCTTTGTGATGTTTGCATTCAACTCACAGAGTTGAACATTCCTTTTGAGAGACAAGCTTTGAAACACTCTTTCTCTAGAATCTGCAAGTGGATATTTGGAGGGCTTTGAGGCCTGTGGTGGAAAGGGAATTCTCTTCCAGTAAAAACTAGATAGAAGCATTCTCAGAAACTAATTTGTGATGATTGCATTCAAGTCACAGAGTTGAATATTCCCTTTGACAGAGCACTTTGGAAACTCTCGCTGTGTAGAATCTGCAAGTGGAGATATGGACCGCTTTGAGGCCTATGGTAGTAAAGGAAATAGCTTCATAGAAAAACTAGACAGTAGCATTCTCAGAAAACTGTTTGTGACGACTGAGTTTAACTCACAAGGCTGAACATTCCTTTGGATGGAGCAGTTTCGAAACACACTCTTTGTAGAATCTGCAAGTGGATATTTGGGCCTCTCTGAGGATTTCATTGGAAAAGGGATAAACCGCACAGAACTAAACAGAAGCATTCTCAGAACCTTCTTCGTGAGGTTTGCATTCAACTCACAGTGTTGAACCTTTTTTGATAGTTCAGGTTTGAAACACTCTTTTTGTAGAAACTGCAAGTGGATAATTGCACTTCTTTGAGGCCTATCCTACTAAAGGAAATAACTTCTTCATATAAAATCAAGACAGAAGCTTTCTCAGAAAATCCTCTGGGATGATTGAGTGGAACTCACAGAGCTGTACTTTCCTTGGGATGGAGTAGTTTCGAAACACACTTTCTGTAAAATCTGCAAGTGGATATTTGGACCTGTCTGAGGAATTTGTTGGTAACGGGATAATTTCAGCTAACTAAACAGAAGCAGTCTCTGAATTTTCTTTGTGATGTTTGCATTCAAATCCCAGAATTGCACATTCCTTGGAAAGTTCAGGTTTGAAACCCTCATTTTGCAGGATCTACAAGTGGATATTTGGACCACTCTGTGGCCTTCGATCGAAACGGGTATATCTTCACATAACGTCTAGACAGAAGCATTCTCAGAAACTTTTCTGTGATGACTGCATTCAACTCACAGAGTTGAACACTCCTTTTGAGAGCGCAGTTTTGAAACTCTCTTTCTGTGGAATCTGCAAGGGGACATGTAGACCTCTTTGAAGGTTTCGTTGGAAACAGAATCATCTTCACAAAAAAATTACACGGAAGCATTCTCAGGAACCCCTTGGTGCTGATTGTATTCAACTTCCAGAGTTGAACTTTCCTTCGGAGAGAGCAGCTATGAAACACTCTTTTTCTAGAATCTGCAAGTGGATATTTGGAGGGCTTTGAGGCTTGTGGTGGAAAAGGAAATATCTTCACATAAATACTAGATGGAAGCATTCTCAGAAACTACTTTGTGATGATTGCATTCACCTCACAGAGTTGAACATTCCTATTGAGAGAGCAGTTTGGAAACACTCTTGTTGGAGAATCTGCAAGTGGAGATTTGGAGCGCTTTGAGGCCTATGGTACTAAAGGGAATAGCTTCATATAAAAACTAGGCAGAAGCATTCTCAGAAAATACTTTGTGATGATTGAGTTTAACTCACAGAGCTGAACATTCCTTTGGATGGAGCAGGTTTGAAACACACTTTTTGTAGAATCTGCAAGTGGATATTTGGACCTCTCTGAGGATTTCGTTGGAAACGGGATAACTGCACCTAACTAAACAGAAGCATTCTCAGAAACTTCTTTGTGATGTTTGCATTCAAATCCCAGAGTTGAACCTTCCTTTGATAGGTCAGGTTTGAAACACTCTTTCTGTACGATCTGCAAGTGGATATTTGGACCACTCTGTGGCCTTCGTTCGAAACGGGTACATCTTCACATAACATCTAGACAGAAGCCTTCTCAGAAACTTCTCTGTGATGATTGCATTCAACTCACAGAGTTGAACCCTCCTATGGATAGAGCAGTGTTGAAACTCTCTTTTTGTGGAATCTGCAAGTGGATATGTGGACCTCTCCGAAGATGTCTTTGGAAACGGGACTATCTTCACATAAAAACTAAACAGAAGCATTCTCAGAAACTTCTCTGTGATGTTTGTGTTCAACTCCCAGAGTTTCACATTGCTTTTCATAGAGTAGTTCTGAAACATGCTTTTCGTAGTGTCTGCAAGTGGACATTTGGAGCGCTTTCAGGCCTGTGGTGGAAAACGAATTATGGTCACATAAAAACTGGAGAGAAGCATTGTCAGAAACTTCTTTGTGATGATTGCCTTCAACTCACAGAGTTGAAGGTTCCTTTTCAAACAGCAGTTTCCAAACACTCTTTCTGTGGAATCTGCAAGTGGATGTTTGGACCTCTTTGAAGATTTCGTTGGAAACGGGAGAATCTTCACAGAAAAGCTAAACAGAAGCATTCTCAGAAACTTCTTTGTGATGCTTGCATTCAACTCACAGAGTTGAACTTTCCTTTCGAGAGAGAAGCTTTGAAACACTCTTTTTCCAGAATCTGCAAGTGGACATTTGGAGGGCTTTGAGGCTGTGGTGGAAAGGATTATCTTCCCGTAAAGCTAGATAGAAGCATTCTCAGAAACTACTTTGTGATGATTGCATTCAAGTCACAGAGTTGAATATTCCCTTTGACAGAGCACTTTGGAAACTCTCGTTGTGTAGAATCTGCAAGTGGAGATATGGACCGCTTTGAGGCCTATGGTAGTAAAGGAAGTTGCTTCATAGAAAAACTAGACAGTAGCATTCTCAGAAAACTGTTTGTGACGACTGAGTTTAACTCACAAGGCTGAACATTCCTTTGGATGGAGCAGTTTCGAAACACACTCTTTGTAGAATCTGCAAGTGGATATTTGGGCCTCTCTGAGGATTTCATTGGAAAAGGGATAAACCGCACAGAATTAAACAGAAGCATTCTCAGAACCTTCTTCGTGATGTTTGCATTCAACTCACAGTGTTGAACCTTTTTTGATAGTTCAGGTTTGAAACACTCTTTTTGTAGAAACTGCAAGTGGATAATTGCACTTCTTTGAGGCCTATCCTACTAAAGGAAATACCTTCTTCATATAAAATCAAGACAGAAGCTTTCTCAGAAAATCCTGTGGGATGATTGAGTTGAACTCACAGAGCTGTACTTTCCTTGGGATGGAGTTGTTTCGAAACACACTTTCAGTAGAATCTGCAAGTGGATATTTGGACCTGTCTGAGGAATTTGTTGGTAACGGGATAATTTCAGCTAACTAAACAGAAGCACTCTCTGAATTTTCTTTGTGATGTTTGCATTCAAATCCCAGAATTGCACCTTCCTTGGAAAGTTCAGGTTTGAAACCCTCATTTTGCAGGATCTACAAGTGGATATTTGGACCACTCTGTGGCCTTCGTTCGAAACGGGTATATCTTCACATAACGTCTAGACAGAAGCATTCTCAGAAACTTTTCTGTGATGACTGCATTCAACTCACAGAGTTGAACACTCCTTTTGAGAGCGCAGTTTTGAAACTCTCTTTCTGTGGAATCTGCAAGGGGACATGTAGACCTCTTTGAAGGTTTCGTTGGAAACAGAATCATCTTCACAAAAAAATTACACGGAAGCATTCTCAGGAACCCCTTGGTGCTGATTGTATTCAACTTCCAGAGTTGAACTTTCCTTCGGAGAGAGCAGCTACGAATCACTCATTTTCTAGAATCTGCAAGTGGATATTTGGAGGGCTTTGAGGTTTGTGGTGGAAAAGGAAATATCTTCACATAAACACTAGATGGGAGCATTCTCAGAAACTACTTTCTGATGATTGCATTCACCTCACAGAGTTGAACATTCCTATTTAGAGAGCAGTTTGGAAACACTCTTGTTGGAGAATCTGCAAGTGGAGATTTGGAGCGCTTTGAGGCCTATGGTACTAAAGGGAATAGCTTCATATAAAAACTAGACAGAAACATTCTCAGAAAATACTTTTTGATGATTGAGTTTAACTCACAGAGCTGAACATTCCTTTGGATGGAGCAGGTTTGAATCACACTTTTTGTAGAATCTGCAAGTGGATATTTGGACCTCTCTGAGGATTTCGTTGGAAACGGGATAACTGCACCTAACTAAACAGAAGCATTCTCAGAAACTTCTTTGTGATGTTTGCATTCAAATCCCAGAGTTGATCCTTCCTTTGATAGGTCAGGTTTGAAACACTCTTTTTTTACGATCTGCAAGTGGATATTTGGACCACTCTGTGGCCTTCGTTGGAAACGGGTACATCTTCACATTACATCTAGACAGAAGCCTTCTCAGAAACTTCTCTGTGATGATTGCATTCAACTCACAGAGTTGAACCCTCCTATGGATATAGCAGTTCTGAATCTCTCTTTTTGTGGAATCTGCAAGTGGATATGTGGACCTCTTTGAAGATGTCTTTGGAAACGGGAATATCTTCACATAAAAATTAAACAGAAGCATTCTCAGAAACTTCTCTCTCATGTTTGCGTTCAACTCACACAGTTTCACATTGCTTTTCATAGAGCAGTTCTGAAACATGCTTTTCGGACTGTCTGCAAGTGGACATTTGGAGAGCTTTCAGGCCTGTGTTGGAAAATGAATTATCGTCACATAGACACTAGAGAGAAGCATTGTCAGGAACTTGTTTGTGATGGTTGCATTCAACTCACAGAGTTGAAGGTTCCTTTTCAACCAGCAATTTCCAAGCACGCCTTCTGTGGAATCTGCAAGTGGATATTTGGACCTCTTTGAAGATATCGTTGGAAACGGGATAATCTTCACAGAAAAGCTAAACAGAAGCATTCTCAGAAACTCCTTTGTGATGTTTGCATTCAACTCACAGAGTTGAACATTCCTTTTGAGAGACAAGCTTTGAAACACTCTTTCTCTAGAATCTGCAAGTGGATATTTGGAGGGCTTTGAGGCCTGTGGTGGAAAGGGAATTCTCTTCCAGTAAAAACTAGATAGAAGCATTCTCAGAAACTACTTTGTGATGATTGCATTCAAGTCACAGAGTTGAATATTCCCTTTGACAGAGCACTTTGGAAACTCTCGTTGTGTAGAATCTGCAAGTGGAGATATGGACCGCTTTGAGGCCTATGGTAGTAAAGGAAATAGCTTCATAGAAAAACTAGACAGTAGCATTCTCAGAAAACTGTTTGTGACGACTGAGTTTAACTGACAGGGCTGAAGATTCCTTTGGATGGAGCATTTTCGAAACACACTCTTTGTAGAATCTGCAAGTGGATATTTGGGCATCTCTGAGGATTTCGTTGGAAACGGGATAAACTGCAAAGAACTATACAGAAGCATTCTCAGAACCTTCTTCGTGAGGTTTGCATTCAACTCACAGTGTTGAACCTTTCTTTGATAGTTCAGGTTTGAAACACTCTTTTTGTAGAAACTGCAAGTGGATAATTGCACTTCTTTGAGGCCTATCGTAGTAAAGGAAATATCTTCATATAAAAACAAGACAGAAGCTTTCTCAGAAAATCCTCTGGGATGATTGAGTTGAACTCACAGAGCTGTACTTTCCTTGGGATGGAGTAGTTTCGAAACACACTTTCTGTAGAATCTGCAAGTGGATATTTGGACCTGTCTGAGGAATTCGTTGGAAACGGGATAATTTCAGCTAACTAAACAGAAGCAGTCTCTGAATTTTCTTTGTGATGTTTGCATTCAAATCCCAGAATTGCACCTTCCTTGGAAAGTTCAGGTTTGAAACCCTCTTTTTGCAGGATCTACAAGTGGATATTTGGACCACTCTGTGGCCTTCGTTCGAAACGGGTATATCTTCACATAACGTCTAGACCGAAGCATTCTCAGAAACTTTTCTGTGATGACTGCATTCAACTCACAGAGTTGAACACTCCTTTTGAGAGCGCAGTTTTGAAACTCTCTTTCTGTGGAATCTGCAAGGGGACATGTAGACCTCTTTGAAGGTTTCGTTGGAAACAGAATCATCTTCACAAAAAAATTACACGGAAGCATTCTCAGGAACCCCTTGGTGCTGATTGTATTCAACTTCCAGAGTTGAACTTTCCTTCGGAGAGAGCAGCTATGAAACACTCTTTTTCGAGAATCTGCAAGTGGATATTTGGAGGGCTTTGAGGTTTGTGGTGGAAAAGGAAATATCTTCACATAAATACTAGATGGAAGCATTCTCAGAAACTACTTTGTGATGATTGCATTCACCTCACAGAGTTGAACATTCCTATTGAGAGAGCAGTTTGGAAACACTCTTGTTGGAGAATCTGCAAGTGGAGATTGGAGCGCTTTGAGGCTATGGTACTAAAGGGAATAGCTTCATATAAAACTAGGCAGAAGCATTCTCAGAAAATACTTTGTGATGATTGAGTTTAACTGACAGAGCTGAACATTCCTTTGGATGGAGCAGGTTTGAAACACACTTTTTGTAGATCTGCAGTGGATATTTGGACCTCTCTGAGGATTTCGTTGGAAACGGGATAACTGCACCTAACTAAACAGAAGCATTCTCAGAAACTTCTTTGTGATGTTTGCATTCAGATCCCAGAGTTAGACCTTCCTTTGATAGTTCAGGTTTGAATCACTCTTTTTGTAGGATCTGCAAGTGGATATTTGGACCACTCTGTGGCCTTCGTTGGAAACGGGTACAACTTCACATAACATCTAGACAGAAGCCTTCTCAGAAACTTCTCTGTGGTGATTGCGTTCAACTCACAGAGTTGAACGCTCCTATGGATAAAGCAGTTTTGAATCTCTCTTTTTGTGGAATCTGCAAGTGGATATGTGAACCTCTTTGAAGATGTCTTTGGAAACGGGAATATCTTCACATAAAAACTAAACAGAAGCATTCTCAGAAACTTCTCTGTGATGTTTGCGTTCAACTCACAGAGTTTCACATTGCTTTTCATAGAGCAGTTCTGAAACATGCTTTTCGGAATATCTGCAAGTGGACATTTGGAGAGCTTTCAGGCCTGTGGTGGAAAATGAATTATCGTCACATAAAAACTAGAGAGTAGCATTGTCAGAAACTTGTTTGTGATGATTGCATTCAACTCACAGAGTTGAAGGTTCCCTTTCAAACAGCAGTTTCCAAACACACTTTCTGTGGAATCTGCAATTGGATAGTTGGACCTCTTTGAAGATGTCTTTGGAAACGGGATAATCTTCACAGAAAAGCTAAACAGAAACATTGTCAGAAACTTCTTTGTGATGTTTGCATTCTACTCACAGAGTTGAACTTTCCTTTTGAGAGAGAAGCTTTGAAACACTCTTTCTCTAGAATCTGCAAGTGGATATTTGGAGGGCTTTGAGGCCTGTGGTGGAAAAGGAATTAACTTCCCGTAAAAACTAGATAGAAGCATTCTCAGAAACTACTTGGTGATGATTGCATTCAAGTCACAGAGTTGAACATTCCCTTTGACAGAACACTTTGGAAACTCTGGTTGTGTAGAATCTGCAAGTGGAGATATGGACCGCTTTGAGGCCTATGGTAGTAAAGGAAATAGCTTCATATAAAAACTAGACAGTAGCATTCTCAGAAAACTCTTTGTGACGACTGAGTTTAACTCACAGGGCTGAACATTCCTTTGGATGGAGCAGTTTCGAAACACACTACTTGTAGAATCTGCCAGTGGATATTTGGGCCTCTCTGAGGATTTCGCTGGAAACGGGATAAACCGCACAGAAATAAACAGAAGCATTCTCAGAACATTCTTCGTGATGTTTGCGTTCAACTCACAGCGTTGAACCTTTCCTTGATACTTCGGGTTTTGAAACACTCTTTTTGTAGAAACTGCAAGTGGATAATTGCACTTCTTTGAGGCCTATCCTAGTAAAGGAAATAACTTCATATAAAAACAAGACAGAAGCTTTCTCAGAAAATCCTCTGGGATGATTGAGTTGAACTCACAGAGCTGTACTTTCCTTGGGATGGAGTAGTTTCGAAACACACTTTCTGTAGAATCTGCAAGTGGATATTTGGACCTGTCTGAGGAATACGTTGGAAACGGGATAATTTCAGCTAACTAAACAGAAGCAGTCTCAGAATCTTCTTTGTGATGTTTGCATTCGAATCCCAGAGTTGAACCTTCGTTTGAAAGTTCAGGTTTGAAACCCTCTTTTTGCAGGATCTACAAGTGGATATTTGGACCACTCTGTGGCCTTCGTTCGAAACGGGTATATCTTCACATAACATCTAGACAGAAGCATTCTCAGAAACTTTTCTGTGATGACTGCATTCAACTCACAGAGTTGAAGACTCCTTTTGAGAGCGCAGTTTTGAAACTCTCTTTCTGTGGAATCTGCAAGGGGACATGTAGACCTCTTTGAAGGTTTTGTTGGAAACAGAATCATCTTCACATAAAAATTACACAGAAGCGTTCTCAGGAACTCCTTGATGTTGTTTGTATTCAACTTCCAGAGTTGAACTTTCCTTCGGAAAGAGCAGCTATGAAACACTCTTTTTCTAGAATCTGCAAGTGGACATGAGGAGGGCTTTGAGGTCTGTGGTGGAAAAGGTAATATCTTCACATAAATATTAGATAGAAGCATTCTCAGAAACTACTTTGTGATGATTGCATTCACCTCACAGAGTTGAACATTCCTATTGATAGAGCAGTTTGGAAACTTTCTTGTTGTAGAATTTGCAAGGGGAGATTTGGCGCGCTTTGAGGCCAATGGTAGTAAAGGGAATAGCTTCATATAAAAACTAGACAGAAGCATTCTCAGAAAATACTTTGTGATGATTGAGTTTAACTGACAGAGCTGAACATTCCTTTGGATGGAGCAGGTTTGAAACACACTTTTTGTAGAATCTGCAAGTGGATATTTGGACCTCTCTGAGGATTTCGTTGGAAACGGGATAACTGCACCTAACTAAACAGAAGCATTCTCAGAAACTTCTTTGTGATGTTTGCATTCAGATCCCAGTGTTAGACCTTCCTTTGATAGTTCAGGTTTGAATCACTCTTTTTGTAGGATCTGCAAGTGGATATTTGGACCACTCTGTGGCCTTCGTTGGAAACGGGTACAACTTCACATAACATTTAGACAGAAGCCTTCTCAGAAACTTCTCTGTTGTGATTGCGTTCAACTCACAGAGTTGAACGCTCCTATGGATAAAGCAGTTTTGAATCTCTCTTTTTGGGGAATCTGCAAGTGGATATGTGAACCTCTTTGAAGATGTCTTTGGAAACGGGAATATCTTCACATAAAAACTAAACAGAAGCATTCTCAGAAACTTCTCTGTGATGTTTGCGTTCAACTCACAGAGTTTCACATTGCTTTTCATAGAGCAGTTCTGAAACATGCTTTTCCGGAATATCTGCAGTGGACATTTGGAGAGCTTTCAGGCCTGTGGTGGAAAACGAATTATCGTCACATAAAAACTGGAGAGAAGCATTGTCAGAAACTTGTTTGTGAT
>NC_000017.11:26627349-26638554 GCF_000001405.40 Homo sapiens
CTGTACTTTCCTTGGGATGGAGTAGTTTCGAAACACACTTTCTGTAGAATCTGCAAGTGGATATTTGGACCTGTCTGAGGAATTCGTTGGAAACGGGATAACTTCAGCTAACTAAACAGAAGCAATCTCCGAATCTTCTTTGTGATGTTTGCATTCGAATCCCAGAATTGAACCTTCCTTTGAAAGTTCAGGTTTGAAACTCTCTTTTTGCAGTATCTACAAGTGGATATTTGGACCACTCTGTGGCCTTCGTTCGAAACGGGTATATCTTCACATAACATCTAGACAGAAGCATTCTCAGAAACTTTTCTGTGATGACTGCATTCAACTCACGGAGTTGAAGACTCCTTTTGAGAGCGCAGTTTTGAAACTCTCTTTGTGTGGAATCTGCAAGGGGACATGTAGACCTCTTTGAAGGTTTTGTTGGAAACAGAATCATCTTCACATAAAAATTACACAGAAGCATGCTCAGGATCTCCTTGGTGATGTTTGTATTCAACTTCCAGAGTTGAACTTTCTTTCGGAAAAAACAGCTATGAAACACTCTTTTTCTAGAATCTGCAAGTGGATATTTGGAGGGCTTTGAGGTTTGTGGTGGAAAAAGAAATATCTTCACATAAATAGTAGATAGAAGCATTCTCAGAAACTACTTTGTGATGATTGCATTCACCTCACAGAGTTGAACATTCCCTTTGACAGAGCACTTTGGAAACTCTCGTTGTGTAGCGTCTGCAAGTTGAGATATGGACCGCTTTGAGGCCTATGGTAGTAAAGGAAATAGCTTCATATAAAAACTAGACAGTAGCATTCTCAGAAAACTCTTTGTGACGACTGAGTTTAACTCACAGGGCTAAACATTGCCTTGGATGGAGCAGTTTCGAAACAAACTATTTGTAGAATCTGCAAGTGGATATTTGGACCTCTCTGAGGATTTCGTTGGAAACGGGAAAACTGCACCTAACTAAACAGAAGCATTCTCAGAAACTTCTTCTTGATGTTTGCATTCAACTCACAGTGTTGAACCTTTCTTTGATAGTTCAGGTTTCAAACACTCTTTTTGTAGAAACTGCAAGTGGATAATTGCACTTCTTTGAGGCCTATCCTAGTAAAGGAAATAACTTCATATAAAAACAAGACAGAAGCTTTCTCAGAAAATCCTCTGGGATGATTGAGTTGAACTCACAGAGCTGTACTTTCCTTGGGATGGAGTAGTTTCGAAACACACTTTCTGTAGAATCTGCAATGGGATATTTGGACCTGTCTGAGGAATTCGATGTAAATGGGATAATTTCAGCTAACTACACAGAAGGAATCTCAGAATCTTCTTTGTGATGTTTGCATTGAAATCCCAGAGTTGAACTTTCCTTTGAAAGTTCAGGTTTCAATCCCTGTTTTTGCAGGATCTGCAAGTGGATATTTGGACCACTCTGTGTCCTTCATTCGAAACGGGTACATCGTCACATAAAATCTAGACAGAAGCCTTCTCAGAAACTTCTCTGTGATGATTGCAATCAACTCACAGAGTTGAACCCTCCTATGGATAAAGCAGTTTTGAATCTCTCTTTTTGTGGAATCTGCAAGTGGATATATGGACCTCTTTGAAGATGCCTTTGGAAACGGGAATATCTTCACATAAAAACTAAACAGAAGCAATCTCAGAAACTTCTCTGTGATGTTTGTGTTCAACTCACAGAGTTTCACATTGCTTTTCATAGAGCAGTTCTGAAACATGCTTTTCGTAGTGTCTGCAAGTGGACATTTGGAGAGCTTTCAGGCCAGTGGTGGAAAACGAATTATCATCACATAAAAACTAGAGAGAAGCATTGTCGGAAACTTGTTTGTGATGATTGCATTCAACTCACAGAGTTGAAGGTTCCTTTTCAAACATCAGTTTCCAAACACTCTTTCTGTGGAATCTGGAAGAGGATATTTGGACCTCTTTGAAGATTTCGTTGGAAACGGGATAATCTTCACAGAAAAGCTAAACAGAAGCATTCTCAGAACCTTCTTCGTGATGTTTGCATTCAACTCACAGTGTTGAACCTTTCTTTGATAGTTCAGGTTTGAAACACTCTTTTTGTAGAAACTGCAGGTGGATAATTGTACTTCTTTGAGGCCTATCATAGTAAAGGAAATAACTTCATATAAAAACAAGACAGAAGCTTTCTCAGAAAATTCTCTGGGATGACTGAGTTGAACTCACAGAGCTGTACTTTCCTTGGGAAGGAGTAGTTTCTCAACACACTTTCTGTAGAATCTGCAAGTGGATATTTGGACCTCTCTGCTGAATTCGTTGGAAACCAGATAATTTCAGCTAACTAAACAGAAGCAATCTCAGAATCTTCTTTGTGATGTTTGCATTCAAATCCCAGAGTTGAACCTTCCTTTGAAAGTTCAGGTTTGAAACCCTCTTTTTGCAGGATCTACCAATTTATTTTGGGACCACTCTGTGGTCTTCGTTCGAAACGGGTATATCTTCACATAACATCTAGACAGAAGCATTCTCAGAAACTTTTCTGTGATGACTGCATTCCACTCACAGAGTTGTACACTCCTTTTGAGAGCGCAGTTTTGAAACTCTCTTTCTGTGGAATCTGCAAGGGGACATGTAGACCTCTTTGAAGGTTTCGTTTGGAAACGGAATCATCTTCACATAAAAATTACACAGAAGCATTCTCAGGAACTCCTTGGTGATGTTTGTATTCAACTTCCACAGTTGAACTTTACTTCGGAAAGAGCAGCTATGAAACACTCTTTTTCTAGAATCTGCAAGTGGACATTTGGAGGGCTTTGAGGTTTGTGGTGGAAAAGGAAATATCTTCACATAAATACTAGATGGAAGCATTCTCAGAAACTACTTTGTGATGATTGCATTCACCTCACAGAGTTGAACATTCCTATTGAGAGAGCAGTTTGGAAACACTCTTGTTGGAAAATCTGCAAGTGGAGATTTGGAGCACTTTGAGGCCTATGGTACTAAAGGGAATAGCTTCATATAAAAACTAGGCAGAAGCATTCTCAGAAAATACTTTGTGATGATTGAGTTTAACTCACAGAGCTGAACATTCCTTTGGATGGAGCAGGTTTGAAACACACTTTTTGTAGAATCTGCAAGTGGATATTTGGACCTCTCTGAGGATTTCGTTGGAAACGGGATAACTGCACCTAACTAAACAGAAGCATTCTCAGAAACTTCTTTGTGATGTTTGCATTCAGATCCCAGAGTTAGACCTTCCTTTGATAGTTCAGGTTTGAATCACTCTTTTTGTAGGATCTGCAAGTGGATATTTGGACCACTCTGTGGCCTTCGTTGGAAACGGGTACAACTTCACATAACATCTAGACAGAAGCCTTCTCAGAAACTTCTCTGTGGTGATTGCGTTCAACTCACAGAGTTGAACGCTCCTATGGATAAAGCAGTTTTGAATCTCTCTTTTTGTGGAATCTGCAAGTGGATATGTGGACTTCTTTGAATATTTCCGTGGAAACGGGAATATCTTTATATGAATACTAAACAGAAGCATTCTCAGAAACTTCTCTGTGATGTTTGTGTTCAACTCACAGTGTTTCACGTTGCTTTTCATAGAGCAGTTCTGAAACATTCTTTTCGCAGTGTCTACAAGTGGACATTTGGAGAGCTTTCAGGCCTGTGGTGGAAAAGAAATTATCGTCACATAAGAACTAGAGAGAAGAATTGTCAGAAATTTCTTTGTGATGATTGCATTCAACTCAAAGAGTTGAAGGTTCCTTTTCAAGCAGCCGTTTGCAAACACTCTTTCTGTGGAATGTGGAAGAGGATATTTGGACGTCTTTGAAGATTTCGTTGGAAACATGATAATCTTCCCAGAAAAGCTAAACAGAAGCATTCTCAGAAACTTATTCGTGATGTTTGCATTGAACTCATAGAGTTGAACTTTCCTTTTGAGAGAGAAGCTTTGAAACACTCTTTTTCTAGAATCTGCAAGTGGACATTTGGAGGGCTTTGAGGCCTGTGTTGGAAAAGGAAATATCTTCCCGTAAAAACTAGAGAGAAGCATTCTCAGAAACTACTTTGTGATGATTGCATTCAAGTCATGGATTTGAACATTCTCTTTGACAGAGCAGTTTGGAAACTCTCTTTTTGTAGAATCTGCAAGTGGAGATATGGACCGCTTTGAGGCCTATGGCAGTAAAGGAAATAACTTCATATAAAAACTAGACAGTAGCATTCTCACAAAACTCTTTGTGACGACTGAGTTTATCTCACAGAGCTGAACATTCCTTTGGATGGAGTAGTTTCGAAACACACTTTTTGTAGAATCTGCAAGTGGATATTTGGAACTCTGAGTATTTTTTTGGAAACGGGTTAAAATTCACAGAACTAAACAGCAGCATTCTCAGAAATTTCTTTGTGATGTTGGCCTTCAACTCACAGAGTGGAACATTCCTTTTGATAGAGTAGTTTTGAAACACTCTTTTTGTAGAATCTGCAAGTGGACATTTTGTGTGCTTTGAGGCCTGTGGTGGGAAAGGAAATGTCTTCACTTAAAATCTAGAGAGAAGCGTTCTCAGAAACTTCTTTGGGAGATTTGCTTTCAACTCACAGATATGAAACTTCCTTCAATATTTTAGATTTGAAGCAGTCTTTTTGTAGGATCTGCAACTGGACATTCGCAGCATTTTGAGGTCCGTGCAAGTAAAGGAACTATCTTCATATAAAAACTAGTCAGAAGCTTTCTCAGAACCATCTTTGTGATGTGGGTATGCAGCTCACAATGTTGTACCTTTCCTCTGATAGAGCAGTTTTGAAACTCTCTTTTTGTAGAATCTGCAAGTAGACATTAGGAGCGCTTTGAGTCCTGTGGTGTAAAAAGAAATATCTACACATTAAAAGTAGAGAGAAGCATTGTCAGAAACTTCTTCGTGATGATTGAGTTCAAGACACAGAGTTGAAGAGTCACAGTGTTTGCAGTTTGCAAACACTTTCTGTAGAATCTGCAAGTGGATATTGGGAGCTCTTTGAAGATTTCGTTGGAAATGGGATAATCGTCACTAAAAACTAAACAGAAGCATTCTCAGAAACTTCTTTGTGATGTTTTCCTTCAACTCACAGAGTTCAACATTCCTATTGATAGAGCAGTTTTGAAACACTCCTTTCTAGAATCTGCAAGTGGATTTTTGGTGTGCCTGTGATGGAAAAGGAAATATCTTCACCTAAAAACTAGAGAGAAACAGTCTCAGAAACTTCGTAGTGATGTTGACAGTCGACGCATAGAGTTGAACGCTCCCTTAACACGAGGAGTTTTGAAACACTCTTTTTGTGGAATCTGCAAGTGGATATTTGGACACCTTTGAAGATTTCGTTGGAAACGGGATTATCTTCACTTAAAAACTAAACAGAAGCAATCTCAGAAACTTCTTTGTGATGTTTGTATTCAACTCAGAGATTTTAACATTGCTTTTCGTAGAGTAGTTTTGAAACATCCTTTCCGTAGTATCTGCACGTCGAAATTTGGAGCGCTTTGAAGCCTGCGGTGGAAAAGGAAATATCTTCACATGAAAACTAGAGGGAAGCACTGTCAGAAACTTCTTCGTGATGATTGCATTCAACTCACAGAGTTGAAGATTCCTTTCAAAACAGCAGTTTGGAAACACTCTTTTTCTAGGATCTGAAAGTGGACATTTGGAGGGCTTCGAGGCCTGCGGTGGAAAACGAAATATCTTCATATAAATACTACATAAAAGCATTCTCAGAAACTACTTTGTAATGATGTCATTCAACTCAGGGAGCTGAACAATTCTTTTGATAGAGCAGTTTTGAAACCCTCTTTTTGTAGAGTCTGCAAATGTAAATATGGACCGCTTTGAATCCTTTGGTAGGAAAGGAAATAACTTCATATAAAAAAAAAGCCAGAAGCATTCTCAGAAACTTCTTTGTCATGATTGACTTCAAAACACAGAGTTGAACATTCCTTTTGATGCAGCAGTTTCAAAATACACTTTTCGTAGAATCTGCAAGTGGATATTTGGAACTCCTTGAGGATTTCTTTGGAAACGGGTTAAAATTCACAGAACAAAACAGAAGCATTCTCAGAAAGTTCTTTGTGATGTTGGCCTTCAACTCACAGAGTGGAACATTCCTTTTGATAGGGCAGTTTTGAAACACTCTTTTTCTAGTATCTGCAAGTGGACATTTGGTGTGCTTTGAGGCCTGTGTTGGGAAAGGAAATAACTTCACTTAACATCTAGAGAGAAGCATTCTCAGAAACCTCTTTTGGAGATTTGCATTCAACTCACAGAGTTAAAACTTCCTTTGATAGTTCAGATTTGAAACACTCTTTTTGTAGAATCTGCAACTGGACATTGGCAGCAATTTGAGGTCAGTGCTAGTAAAGGAACTATCTTCATATAAAAACTTGGAAGAAGCTTTCTCAGAAACTTCTTTGTGATGTGGGTATGCAACTCACAAAGTTGAACCTTTCCTTTGATAGAGCAGTTTGAAACTCTCTTTTTGTAGAATCTACAAGTAGACATTTTGAGCACTTAGAGACCTGCCATGGAAAAGAAAATATCTACACATTAAAACTAGAGAGAAGCATTGTCAGAAACTTCTTCATGATGATTGAGTTCAACTCTCAGAGTTGAAGAGTCCTTTTTAAACAGCAGTTTGGAAACACTCTTCTGTAGAATCTGCAAGTGGATATTTGGAGCTCTTTGAATATTTCATTGGAAACGGGATAATCTTCACTAAAAACAAAACAGAAGCATTGTCAGTAGCTTCTTTGAGATGTTTGCCTTCAACTCACAGAGTTCAACATTCCTTTTGATAGAGCAGTTTTGAAACACTCTTTTTCTAGAATCTGCAAGTGGACATTGGCTGTGCCTTGAGGACTCTGCTGGAAATGGAAATATCTTCACCTAAAATCTAGAGAGAAGCATTCTCAGAAACTTCGTAGTGATGTTTACAGTCGACTCATAGAGTTGAACGTTCCCTTAACAAGAGCAGTTTTGAAACACTCTTTTTGTAGAATCTGCAAGAGGATATTTGGACATCTTTGAAGATTTCTTTGGAAACGGGAATATCTTCACTTAAAAACTGAAGAGAAGCATTCTCAGAAACTTCTTTGTGATGTTTGTATTCAACTCACAGATTTTAACATTGCTTTTCATAGAGCAGTTTTGAAACATTCTTTCCGTAGAATTTGCACGTAGACATTTGGAGCACTTTGAAGCCTGCGGTGGAAAAGGAAATATCTTCACATAAAAACTAGAGGGAAGCACTGTCAGAAACTTCTTCGTGATGATTGCATTCAACCCACAGAGTTGAAGATTCATTTTGAAACAGCAGTTTGGAAACACCCTTTTTCTAGGATGTGCAAGTGGACATTTGGAGGGCTTTGAGGCCTGCGGTGGGAAATGAAATGTCTTCACATGAATACTACATAAAAGCATTCTCAGAAACTACTTTGAGATGATATCATTCAACTCAGAGAGTTGAACATTCCTTTTGATAGAGCAGGTTTGAAACCCTCTATTTGTACAGTCTGCATATGGAAATATGGACGGCTTTGAAGCCTATGCTAGTAAAGGAAATAACTTCATATAAAATACAGCTCAGAAACTTCTTTGTCATGATTGACTTCAAGACACAGAGCTGAACATTCCTTTTGATGCAGCAGTTTCGAAACACACTTTTTGTAGAATCTGTAAGTGGATATTTGGAACTCTTTGAGGATTTCATTGGAAACAGGTTAAAATTCACAGAAATAAACAGAGGCATTCTCAGAAAGTTCTTTGTGATGTTGGTCTTCAACTCACAGAATGGAACATTCCTTTTGATAGAGCAGTTTTGAAACACCCTTTTTCTAGAATCTGCAAGTGGACATTTGGTGTGCTTTGAGGCCTGTGGTGGGAAAGGAAATATCTTCACTTAAAATCTAGAGAGAAGCATTCTCAGGAACTTCTTTGGGAGATTTGCTTTCAACTCACAGAGTTGAAACTTCCTCCGATAGTTCAGATTTGAAACACTCTTTTTGTAGAATCTGCAACTGGACATTGGCAGCAATTTGAGGTCCGTGTAAGTGAAGGAAATATCTTCATATAAAACTAGGCAGAAGCTTTCTCAGAAACTTCTTTGTGATGTGGGTATGCAACTCACAAAGTTGAACCTTTCCTGTGATAGAGCAGTTTTGAAACTCTCTTTTTGTAGAATCTGCAAGTAGACATTAGGAGCGCTTTGTGTCCTGCATTGGAAAAGGAAATATCTACACATTAAAACTAGAGAGAAGCATTGTCAGAAACTTCTTCGTGATGATTGAGTTCAACTCACAGAGTTGTAGAGTGCTTTTTAAACAGCAGTTTGGAAACAATCTTTCTGTAGAATCTGCAAGTGAATATTTGGAGCTCTTTGAAGACTTCGTTGGAAACGGGATAATCTTCACTAAAAACTAAACAGAAGCATTCTCAGAAACTTCTTTGTGATATTTGACTTCAACTCACAGCATTCAACATTCCTTCTGATAGAGCAGTTTTGAAACACTCTTTTTCTAGAATCTGCAAGTGGATTGTTGGTGTGCCTGTGGTGGAAAAGGAAATATCTTCACCTAAAACCTAGAGAGAAGCATTCTCAGAAACTTCGTAGTGATGTTTACATTCGATGAATAGAGCTGTACGTTCCCTTAACAAGAGCAGTTTTGAAACACTCTTTTTGTAGAATCTGCAAGTGGATATTTGGACACCTTTGAAGATTTCGTTGGAAACTGGAATATCTTCACTTAAAAACTGAACAGAAGCATTCTCAGAAACTTCTTTGTGATGCTTGTATTCAACTCACAGATTTTAACATTGCTTTTCATAGAGCAGTTTTGAAACATTCTTTCCGTAGAATCTGCACGTAGACATTTGGAGTGGTTTGAAGCCTGCGGTGGAAAAGGAAATATCTTCACATAAAAACTAGAGAGAAGCACTGTCAGAAACTTTGTGATGATTGCATTCAACTCACAGAGTTGCAGATTCCTTTTGAAACAGCAGTTTGGAAACACTCTTTAGGTAGGATCTGCAAGGGGATATTTGGCGTTCTTTATTGCTTTTCATAGAGCAGTTTTGAAACACTCTTTTTCTAGAACATGCAAGTGGACATTTGGAGGGCTTTGAGGCCTGTGGTGGAAAAGGAAACATCTTCACATATAAACTAGAGAGAAGCATTCTCAGAAACTTCTTTGTGATGTTTGTATTCATCTCACTGATTTTAACATTGCTTTTCATAGAGCAGTTTTGAAACATTCTTTCCGTAGAATCTGCAAGCAGACATTTGGAGCGCTTTGAAGCCTGTTGTGGAAAAGGAAATATCTTCACATAAATAGTAGAGAGAAGCATTCTCAGCAACTTGTTTGTGATGAGTGCATTCAACTCACAGAGTTGAACATTCCTTTTGGTAGAGCGGTTTTGAAACACTCTTTTTCTAGAATCTGCAAGTGGACATTTGGAGGGCTTTGAGGTCTGTGGTGGAAAAGGAAATATCTTCACATATAAACTAGAAAGAAGCATTCTCAGAAACTTCTTTGTGATGAGTACATTCAACTCACAGAGTTGAACATTCCTATTGATAGAGCAGTTTTGAAACCCTCTTTTTGTAGATTCTGAAGGTAGAGATATGGACCGCTTTGAAGCCTACTGTAGTAAAGGAAATAACTTCATATTAAAGCCAGCCAGAAGCATTTTCAGAAACTTCTTTGTTTTGATTGAGTTAAACTCACAGAGCTGAACATTCCTTTTGATGGAGCAGTTTCGAAACACACTTTTTGTAGAATCTGCAAGTGGATATTTGGACCTCTTTGAGGATTTCTTCAGAAACGGGTTAAACCTCACATAACTAAACAGAAGCATTGTCAGAAACTTCTTTGTGAGGTTTGTATTCAACTCACAGAGTTGAACCTTCCTTCGAGAGTTCAGGTTTGAAAGACTCTTTTTGTAGAATGTGCAACTTTACATTAACAGCGCTTTGAGGTCCGTGCAAGTAAAGGAAATATCTTCATATTAAAGCTAGACAGGGAGAAGAGGAAAGGCAAGGGAAGGGGTTAGAGTGGTGTGTGCATGGAGGGGGTGGGGATGGGAAGGCTGATGAGGATGGACAGAGACGGTCTCTGATAAGATTTGTTTCTTTTGCCTCTCCCCTCTCCCCTCTCCCCTCTCCCTTCTCCCCTCTCCCCTCTCCCTCTCGGTCTCCCTCTCCCTCTCTTTCCATGGTCTCCCTCTGATGCCGAGCCGAAGCTGGACTGTACTGCTGCCATCTCGGCTCACTGCAACCTCCCTGCCTGACTCTCCTGCCTCAGCCTGCCCAGTGCCTGCGATTGCAGGCGCGCGCCACCACGCCTGACTGGTTTTCGTACTTTTTTGGTGGAGACGGGGTTTCGCTGTGTTGGCCAGGCTGGTCTCCAGCTCCTAACCGCGAGTGATCCGCCAGCCTCAGCCTCCCGAGGTGCCGGGATTGCAGACGGAGGCTGGTTCACTCAGTGCCCAATGGTGCCCAGGCTGGAGTGCAGTGGCGTGATCTCAGCTCGCTACAACCTCCATCTCCCAGCCGCCTGCCTTGGCCTCCCAAAGTGCCGAGATTGCAGCCTCTGCCCGGCCGCCACCCCGTCTGGGAAGTGAGAAGCGTCTCTGCCTGGCCGCCCATCGTCTGGGACGTGAGGAGCCCCTCTGCCTGGCTGCCCAGTCTGGAAAGTGAGGAGCGTCTCTGCCCGGCCGCCATCCCATCTAGGAAGTGAGGAGCGCCTCTTCCCGGCAGCTATCCCATCTGGGAAGTGAGGAGCGTCTCTGCCCGGCCGCCCATCGTCTGAGATGTGGGGAGCGCCTCTGCCCCGCCGCCCCGTCTGGGATGTGAGGAGCACCTCTGCCAGGCCGCGACCCCGTATGGGAGGTGAGGAGCGTCTCTGCCCAGCCGCCCCGTCTGAGAAGTGAGGAGCCCCTCTGCCCGGCAGCCACCCCGTCTGGGAAGTGAGGAGCGTCTCCGCCCGGCAGCCGCCCCGTCCGGGAGGGAGGTGGGGGGATCAGCCCCCCGCCCGGCCAGCCGCCCCGTCCGGGAGGTGAGGGGCGCCTCTGCCCAGCCGCCCCTACTGGGAAGTGAGGAGCCCCTCTGCCGGGCCAGCCACCCCGTCCGGGAGGGAGGTGGGGGGCTCAGCCTCCCGCCCGGCCAGCCGCCCCGTCCGGGAGGGAGGTGGGGGGGTC
>NC_000017.11:26638627-26640334 GCF_000001405.40 Homo sapiens
CCCCCCGCCCGGCCAGACGCCCTGTCTGGGAGGGAGGTGGGGGGGTCAGCCCCACGTCCGGGAGGGAGGTGTGGGGGGGTCAGCCCCCTGCCAGGCCAGCCGCCCCGTCCGGGAGGGAGGTGGGGTCAGCCCCCCGCCCGGCCAGCCGCCCCGTCCGGGAGGTGAGGGGCGCCTCTGCCCAGCCGCCCCTACTGGGAAGTGAGGAGCCCCTCTGCCGGGCCAGCCACCCCGTCCGGGAGGGAGGTAGGGGGCTCAGCCCCCCGCCCGGCCAGCCGCCCCGTCCGGGAGGGAGGTGGGGGGTCAGCCCCCCGCCCGGCCAGCCACCCCGTCCGGGGGGTGAGGGGCGCCTCTGCCCGGCCGCCCCTACTGGGAAGTGAGGAACCCCTCTGCCCGGCCAGCCGCCCCCTCCGGGAGGGAGGTGGGGGGGTCAGCCCCCCGCCCGGCCAGCCGCCCTGTCTGGGAGGGAGGTGGGGGGGTCAGCCCCCCGCCCGGCCAGCCGCCCCATGCGGGAGGTGAGGGGCGCCTCTGCCTGGCCGCCCCTACTAGGAAGTGAGGCGCCCCGCTGCCCGGCCAGCCGCCCCGTCCGGGAGGGAGGTGGGGGGTCAGCCCCCTGCCCGGCCAGCCGCCCCATCCGGGAGGTGAGGGGCGCCTCTGCCCCGCCGCCCCTACTGGGAAGTGAGGAGCCCCTCTGCCCGGCCACCACCCCGTCTGGGAGGTGTACCCAACAGCTCATTGAGAACGGGCCGGGATGACAGTGGCGGTTTTGTGGAATAGAAAGGGGGGAAAGGTGGGGAAAAGATTGAGAAATCAGATGGTTGCCATGTCTGTGTAGAAAGAAGTAGACATGGGAGACTTTTCATTTTGTTCTGTACTAAGATAAATTCTTCTGCCTTGGGATCCTGTTGATCGGTGACCTTACCCCCAACCCTGTGCTCTCTGAAACATGTGCTGTGTCCACTCAGGGTTAAATGGATTAAGGGCGGTGCAAGATGTGCTTTGTTAAACAGATGCTTGAAGGCAGCATGCTCGTTAAGAATCATCACCACTCTCTAATCTCAAGTACCCAGGGACACAAACACTGCGGAAGGCTGCAGGGTCCTCTGCCTAGGAAAACCAGAGACCTTTGTTCACTTGTTTATCTGCCGACCTTCCCTCCACTATTGTCCTATGACCCTGCCAAATCCCCCTCTGCGAGAAACACCCAAGAATGATCAATAAAAAAAAAAAAAAATTAAAAAAAAAATAAAAATAAAAAAAAAAAATTAAAGCTAGACAGAAGCTTTCTCAGAAACTCCTTTGTGATGTGTTCATTGAACTGACAGAGTTGAACCATTGTTTTGATAGAGCCATTTTGAAACACTATTTTTGTAGAATCTGCAGGTGGACATTTGGAGCGCTTTGACATCTATAGTGAAAATGATATATCTTCACATAAAAACTGTACAGAAGCATTCTCAGAAACTTCTTTGTGCTGTTTGCTTTCAACTCACAGGCTTGAATATTCCTTTTCATAGAGCAGTTTTGAATCACTGTTTTTGTGGAAATTGAATGTCGATATTTGAACCACTTTGAGTCCTTCGTTGGAAACGGAACACCTTCATATAAAAACTAGACAGAAGCATTGACAGAAACTTCTTTGTGATGTATGCATTCAACTCACAGAGTTGAACCTTTCTTTTGATAGAGCAGTTTTGAAGCCCTCTTTTT
>NC_000017.11:26640620-26643468 GCF_000001405.40 Homo sapiens
ACAGTTTTGAAACACGCTTTTTGTAGAATCTGCAAGTGGACATTTGGAGATCTTTGAGGTCTATGATGAAAAAGGCAATATCTTCACTCAAAAACTACCATCAGAGTGAACAGGCAACCTACAAAATGGGAGAAAATTTTCGCAACCTACTCATCTGACAAAGGGCTAATATCCAGAATCTACAATGAACTCAAACAAATTTACAAGAATAAAACAAACAACCCCATCAAAAAGTGAGTGAAGGACATGAACAGACACTTCTCAAAAGAAGACATTTATGCAGCCAAAAAACACATGAAAAAATGCTCATCTTCACTGGCCATCAGAGAAATGCAAATCAAAACCACAATGAGATACCATCTCACACCAGTTAGAATGGCGATCATTAAAAAGTCAGGAAACAACAGGTGCTGGAGAGGATGTGGAGAAATAGGAAGACTTTTACACTGTTGGTGGGACTGTAAACTAGTTCAACCATTGTGGAAGTCAGTGAGGCGATTCCTCAGGGATCTAGAACTGGAAATACCATTTGACCCAGCCATCCCATTGCTGGGTATATACCCAAATGAGTATAAATCATGCTGCTATAAAGACACATGCACACGTATGTTTATTGCGGCATTATTCACAATAGCAAAGACTTGGAACCAACCCAAATGTCCAACAATGATAGACTGGATTAAGAAAGTGTGGCACATATACACCACGGAATACTATGCAGCCATAAAAAATAATGAGTTCATGTCCTTTGTAGGGACATGGATGAAATTGGAAATCATCATTCTCAGTAAACTATCGCAAGAACAAAAAACCAAACACCGCATATTCTCACTCATAGGTGGGAATTGAACAATGAGATCACATGGACACAGGAAGGGGAATATCACACTCTGGGGACTGTTGTGGGGTGGGAGGAGGGGGGAGGGATAGCATTGGGAGATATACTTAATGCTAGATGACGAGTTAGCGGGTGCAGCGCACCAGCATGGCACATGTATACATATGTAACTAACCTGCACAATGTGCACATGTACCCTAAAACTTAAAGTATAATAAAAAAAATTTAAAAACAAAATGGCTGAAAAAAAACTGCACAGAAGCATTCTCAGAAACTTCCTCATGACGTTTGCTTTCAACTCACAGAGTTGAACCGTAATTTTCCTACAGCAGTTTTGAAACACTCTTGTTGTAGAATTTGCATGTGGTTACATTGACCGCTATGAGGCCTTCGTTGGAAACGGGATAACTTCCCATAAAATCTAGACAAAAGCATTCACAGAAACTTCTTTGTGATGTGTGCATCCAACTCACAAATTTGAACCTTTCTTTTGATAGACCAATTTTGAAACACTCTTTTTGTAGAATCTGCAAGTGGACTTTTGGAGCGTTTGGAGGTCTGTGGTGAAAATGGAAATATCATCACATAAAAACTACACAGAAGCATTCTCAGAAACTTCTTTGGCATTTTTGCTTTCAACTCACAGAGTTGAACATTCCTTTTCATAGAGCAGTTTTCAAACACTCTTTTTGTCGAATTTGCAAGTGTATATTTGGACCAATTTAAGGCCATCGTTGGAAACGGAATATATTCACATTAAAATCAGACAGAAGCATTCTCAGAAACATCTTTGTGATGGTGAAAAGGAAATATCTTCACATAAATACTGCACAGAAGCATTCTCAGAAACTTCTATGTGCTGTTTGCTTTCAACTCAGAGTTTTGAACATTCCTTTTCAGAGAGCAGTTTTGAAACTCTCTTTTTGTGGAATTTGCAAGTCGATATTTTTACCAGTTTGGGGCCTTCGTTGGAAACGGAATACCTTCACATAAAAACTAGACAGAATAATTGACAGGAACCTCTTTGTGATGTATGCATTCAGCTCACAGAATTTAACTTTTCTTTTGATAGAGCAGTTTTGAAAGACTCTTTGTAGAATCTGCAAGTGGACATATGGAGCACTTTGGGGCCAGTGTAGAAAAACGAATTCTTTTCACATAAAAAGTAGACAGAGGCATTCTCAGAAACTTCTTTTGGAAGTGGGCATTCAACTCACAGAGTTGAACCTTTCTTTTCATAGAGCAGATTTGAAACATCCTTTCTGTTGAATTTGCAAGTGGATACTTGGACGGCATAGAGTCCTTCATTGGAAACGGGGTATCTTCAAATCAAAACTATACAGAATCTTTCTCAGAAACTTCTTTGCAATGTGTTCATTCGACTCACAGAGATGAACTTTTTTTTTTGATTGAGCAGTTTTGAAACACTCTTTTTGTAGAATCTGCAAGTGGACATTTGGAGTGCTTTGGGGCCTATGGTGGAAAAGGAAATATCTTCACATAAAAACTAGACAAAAGGATTCTCAGAAACTTCTTTGTGATTAGTGCATTCAACTCACAGAGTTGAATCTTTCTTTTGATAGAGCAGTTTTGAAACACTCTTTTTGTAGAATTTGCATATGGTTATATTGACCACTTTGAGGCCTTCGTTGGAAATGGGATATCTTCAAATCAAAACTATACAGAAGCATTCTCAGAAACTTCTTTGTAATGTGTTCATTCAGCTCACAGGGATGAACCTTTCTTTTGATTGAGCAATTTTGAAACACTCTTTTTGTAGAATCTGCCAGTGGACTTTTGGAGCCCTTTGGGTCCTAAGGTGAAAAAGAAAATATCTTCACATAAAAACTAGACAGAAGGATTCTCAGAAACTTCTTTGTGATGAGTGCATTCAACTCAGAGAGTTGAATCTTTGTTTTGATAGAGCAGTTTTGAAACACTCTTTTTGTAGGATTTGCTTGTGGTTATATTGACCGCTTTGAGGCCTTCGTTGGAAACGGAATATCTCAC
>NC_000017.11:26643843-26698590 GCF_000001405.40 Homo sapiens
ACATTTTGAGCGCTTTGAGGCCAATAGAGAAAAAGGAAATCTCTTCACATAAAAACTACACAGAAGCATTCTCAGAAACTTCTTTGTGATGTTTGCGTTCAACTCACAGAGTTGAACTTTCTTTTCATAGAGCAGATTTGAAACACCCTTTCTGTTGAATTTGCAAGTGGATATTTGGACCTCCAAGAGGCCTTCGTTGGAAACAAGATATCTTCACCTAAAAACCAGACAGAAGCATTCTCAGAAACTTCTTTGTGATGTGTGCATTCAACTCACAGAGATGAACCTTTCTTTTGATAGGGCAGTTTGGAAAAACTCTTTTTGTAGAATCTGCATGTGGACATTTGGAGCACTTTGAAGCCTATGATGAAAAAGGAAATCTCTTCACATAAAAACTAGACAGAAGCATTCTCAGAAACTTCTTTGTGATGAGTGCATTCAACTCACAGAGTTGAATCTTTCATTTATAGAGCAGTATTGAAACAGTCCTTTTGTAGAATCTGCATGTGTACATTTAGAGTGCTTTGAGGCCTATGGTGAAAAAGGGAATATCTTGATATAAAAACTACACAGAAGTATTCTCAGAAACTCCTTTGTGATGTGTGCATTCAACACACAGAGTTGAACCTTCGTTTTGATAGAGCAGTTTTGAACCACGCTTTTTGTAGAATCTGCATGTGGACATTTGGAGAGTCAAGGGTCTCTGGTGAAAAAGGAAATATCTTCACTTAAAAACTACATAGAGGCATTCTCAGAAACTTCCTTGTGACGTTTGCTTTCAACTCACAGAGTTGAACATTACTTTTCATAGAGCAGTTTTAAAACACTCTTTTTGTAGTGTTTGCTGGTGGATATTTGGAGCTCATTGAGGTCTTCGTTGGAAACGGGATATCTTCACATGAAAACCAGACACAAGCATTCACAGAAAGTTATTTGTGATGTGTGCATTCAACTCACAGAGTTGAACCTTTCTTTTGATAGAGCAGTTTTGAAACACTTTTTTTGTAGGATCTGCAAGTGGACATTTGGAGCGCTTTGAGGCCTATCATGAAAAAGGAGATATCTTCACATAAAAACTGCACAGAAGAATTCTCAGAAACTTCTTTGTGCTGTTTGCTTTCAACTCACAGAGTTGAACATTCCTTTTCATAGAACAGTTTTGAAACACTTTTTGTGGAATTTGCAAGTCGATTTTTTTACCACTTTCAAGCCTTTGCTGGAAACGGAATACCTTCAAATAAAAACGAGACAGAACCATTGACAGAAACTTCTTTGTGATGTATGCGTTCAACTCACAGAGTTGAACCTTTCTTTTGATAGAGCAGTTTTGAAACACTCTTTTTGTAGAATCTGCAAGTGGACATTTTGAGCGCTTTGAGTTCAATGGAGAAAAAGGGAATCTCTTCACATAAAAACTACACAGAAGCATTCTCAGAAACTTCTTTGTGATGTGTGCATTCAACTCACAGAGTTGAACCTTTCCTTTCATACAGCAGATATGAAACACTCTTTCTGGTGAATTTGCAAGTAGGTATTTGGACCGCTTAGAGACCTTCATTCAATACGAGATATCTTCACATAAAAACTAGACAGAAGCATTCTCAGAAACTACTTTGTGATGTGTGCATTCAACTCACAGAGATGAACATTTCTGTTGATAGAGCAGTTTTGAAAGAATCTTTTTGTAGAATCTGCAAGAGGACATTTGGAGCACTTTGAGGCCTTTGGTGAAAAAGGAAATATCTTCACATAAAAACTAGACAGAAGCATTCTCATAAACTTATTTGTGATGAGTGCACTCAATTAACAGAGTTGAACTTCTTCTTTTGATA
Source organism: Homo sapiens (assembly GCF_000001405.40). NCBI lineage: Eukaryota > Metazoa > Chordata > Mammalia > Primates > Hominidae > Homo > Homo sapiens. Next base: position 26,645,676 of record NC_000017.11, read on the forward strand.
CAGCAGTTTTGGAACACTCTTTTTGTAGTATCTGCAAGTGGACATTTAGAGTGCTTTGAGACCTATGGTGAAAAACGGAATATCTTCACATAAAAACTACATAGAAGAATTCTCAGAAACTTCTTTGTGTTGTGTGCATTCCACTCACTGAGTTGAAACTTTCTTTTGATAGAGCAGTTTTGAAACACTCTTTTTGTAGAATCTGCAAGTGAACATTTGAGTGCTTTGAGGACTGTGGTGAAAAAGGAAATATCGTCACATAAAAACTACACAGAAGCATTCTGAGTACCTTCTTTGTGATGCTTGCTTTCAACTCAGAGAGCTGAACATTAATTTTCCTACTGCAGTTTTGAAACACACTTTTTGAAGAATTTGCACGTGGATAGTTGGACCACCTTGCGGCCTTCGTTGGTAACAGGATATCTTCACATAAAAGGCAGACAGAAGAATTCTCATAAACTTGTTTCTCATGTGTGAATTCAACTCACAGAGTTGAACATTTTTTTTTGATAGAGCCATATTGAAACAATCTTTTTGTAAAATCTGCAGGTGGACATTCGGAGCGCTTTGAGGCCTATGGTGAAAAAGCAAATATCTTCACATAAAAACTGCACAGAAGCATTCTGAGAAACTTCTTTGTGCAGTTTGCTTTCAACTCACAGAGTTGAACATTCCTTTTCATAGAGCAGTTTGGGAACACTCTTTTTGTGGAATTTGCAAGTCGTTATTTGTACCACTTTGAGGCCTTCATTGGAAACACTATACCTTCACATAAAAACTAGACAGAATCATTGACAGAGAGTCCTTTGTGATGTATGCGTTCAACTCGCAGAATTGAACCTTTCTTTTGATAGAGCAGTTTTGCAACACTCTTTTTGTAGAATCTGCAAGTGGACACTTGCAGTGCTTTGTTGCCAATGGAGAAAAATGAAATCTCTTCACATAAAAACTGCACAGAAGCATTCACAGAAACTTCTTTGTGATGTGTGCATTCAACTCACAGAGATAAACCTTTCTTTTGATAGACCAGTTTTGAATCACTCTTTTTGTAGAATCTGCAAGTGGACATTTGGAGCGCTTTGAGGCCTTTGGTGAAAAAGGAAATATCTTCATATAAAAACTAGAGAGAAACATTGTCAGAAACTTCTATGTGATGAGTGGATTCAACTCAAACAGTTGAGTCTTTCTTTTGGTAGAGCAGTTTTGAAATACTCTTTTTGTAGTATCTGCAAGTGGACATTTTGAGTGCTTTGAGACCTATGATGAAAAAGGGAATATCTTCACATAAAAACTACACAGAAGTATTCTCAGAAACTTCTTTGTGATGTGTGCGTTCAACAGACAGAGTTGAACCTTTCTTTTGAGAGAGCAGTTTTGAAACACTCTTTTTGTAGCATCTGCAAGTGAACATTTGGAGAGCTTTGCGGTCTACGGTGAAAAAGGAAATATCTTCACTTAAAAATTACACAGAAGCATTCTCAGAAACTTCCTTGTCACGTTTGATTTCACCTCACAGAGTTGAACATTAATTTTCCTCCAGAAGTTTTGAAACACTCTTTTTGTAGAATTTGCATGTGGATATTTGGACTACTTTGAGGCTTTCGTTGGAAACAGGCTGTCTTCACATAAAAACTGGACAGAAGCATTCACAGAAACTTGTTTGTGATGTTTGCATCCAACTCACAGATTTGAACCTTTCTTTTGATAGAGCAGTTTTGAAACACTCTTTTTGTAGAATCTGCAATTGGACATTTGAGCGCTTTGAGGTCTGTGGTGAAAAAGGAAACATCTTAAAAAAAAACTACACAGAAGCATTCTCAGAAACTTCTTTGTGATGTTTGCTTTCACCTCACAGATTTGAACATTCCTTTTCATAGAGCGGTTTTGAAACACTCATTTTGTAGAATTTGAAAGTGGGTATTTGGACCACTTTGAGACCTTCATTGGAAATGGGATATCTTCACATAAAAAGCAGACAGAAGCATTCTCAGAAACTTCTTTGTGATGTGTGCATTCAACTCACAGAGGTGAAATTTTCTTTTGATAGAGCAGTTTTGAAACACTCTTTTTGTAGAATCTGCAAGTGGACATTTGGAGTGCTTTGAGGCCTATGGTGAAAAAGTAAATATCTTCACATAAAAACTGCACAGAAGCATTCCCAGAAACATCTTTGTGCTGTTTGTTTTCAACTCACAGAGTTGAACAGTACTTTTCATAAGCAGTTTTGAAACACTCTTTTTGTGGAATTTGCAAGTCGATATTTGTGCCACTTTGGGGTCTTCATTGGAATCGGAATACCTTCATATAAAAACTATACAGAGGCATTGACAGAAACTTCTTTGTAATGTATGTGTTCAACTCAAAGAGTTGAACCTTTCTTTTGATAGAGCAGTTTTGAACGACTGTTTCTGCAGAATCTGCAAGTGGACATTTGAGCGCTTTGAGGCTTGCAGTGAAAAAGGAAATATCTTCACATTAAAACTACACAGAAGCATTCTCATTAACTTCTTTGTGATGTTTGCTTTCAACTCACGGAGTTGAAAATTCCTTTTCATAGAGCAGTTTTTAAACACTGTTTTTGTTGAATTTGCCAGTGGATATTTGGACCGCTTAGAGGCCTTGGTTGGAAACGAGATATCTTCACATAAAAGCATTCTCAGAAACTTCTTTGTCATGTGTGCACTCAACTCACAGAATTGAACGTTTCTTTCGATAGAGCAGCTTTGAAATACCCTTTTTGCAGAATCTCCACGTGGACATTTGGAGCACTTTAAGGCCAATGGAGAAAAACGAAATCTCTTACAAGGAAATATCTTCACTTAAAAACTACACAGGAGCATTCTCAGAAACTTCCTTGTGACGCTGACTTTCAACTCACAGAGTTGAACATTAACTTTCCTACAGCAGTTTTGAAACACTTTTTTGTAGAATTTGCAAGTGGACATTTGAGCGACTTTGAGGCTATCGTTCGAAACGGGCTATCTTCACATGAAAACTAGATGGAAGCATTCAAAGAAACTTCTTTGTGATGTGTGCATTCAACTCACAGAGTTGAACCTTTCTTTTGATAGAGCAGATTTGAAACACTCTTTTTGTAGAATCTGCAAGTGGACATTTAGATGCATTGTGGCCAATGGAGAAAAACAAAATCTCTTCTCATAAAAACTACACAGAAGCATTCTCATAAACTTCTTTGTGATGTTTGCTTTCACCTCACAGAGTTCAACATTCCTTTCATAGAGCAGTTTTGAAACACTCTTTTTGTAGAATCTGCAAGTGGATATTTGTACCACTTTGAGGCCTTCGTTGGAAACGGTATATCTTCACATAAAAAGCAGACAGAAGCATTCTCAGAAACTTCTTTGTGATGTGTACATTCAAGTCACAGAGATGAACATTTCTTTTGATAGAGTAGTTTTGAAACACTCTTTTTGTAGAATCTGCAAGGGGACATTTGGAGTGCTTTGAGTCCTTTGGTGAGAAAGGTAATATCTTCACATAAAAACTACACTGAAGTATTCTCAGAAACTTCTATGTGATGTGTTCATTCAACTCATGGAGTTGAACCTTTCTTGTGATAGAGCAGTTTTCAAACACTCTTTTTAGAGAATCTGCAAGTGGACACTTTCAGAGCTTTGTGGTCTATGGTGAAAAAGGAAATATCTTCACTTAAAAACTACACAGAATCGTTGGCAGAAACTTCCTTGTGACGTTTGCTTTCAACTCACAGAGTTGAACATTAATTATCCTATAGCAGTTTTGAAACACTCTTTTTGTAGAATTTGCATGTGAATATTTGGACCACTTTGAAGCTTTCATTGGTAACGGGATAACTTCACATGAAAACTAGACAGAAGCATTCACAGAAACTTCTTTGTGATGTGTGCCTCCAACTAACAGAGTGGAACTTTTTTTTTTTACAGTAGTTTTGAAACACTCTTTTTGTAGAATCTGCAAGGGGACATTTGAGAGCTTTGAGGCCTGTGGTGAAAAAGGAAACATCTTCACATAAAAACTACACAGAAGCATTCTCAGAAACTTCTTTCTGATGTTTGCTTTCAACTCACAGGGTTGAATATTCCTTTTCATAGAGCAGTTTTGAAACACTCTTTTTGTAGAATTTGCAAGTGGATATTTGGACCACTTTGAGGCCTTAGTTGGAAACGGGATATCGTCAATAAAAAGCAGACAGAAGCATTATCAGAATCTTCTTTGTGATGTCTGCATTCAACTCACAGAGTTGAACCTTTCTTTTGATAGAGTCGTTTTGAAACACTCTTTTTGTAGAATCTGAAGTGGGCATTTGGAGTGTTTTGAGGCCTTTGGCGAAAAAGGAAACATCTTCACATAAAAACTAGACAGAAGCATTCTCAGAAACTTCTTTGTGATTAATGTATTCAACTCACAGAGTTGAATCTTTCTTTTGATAGAGCAGTTTTGAAACTCTCTTTTTGTAGAATCTGCTAGTGGACATTTAGAGTGCTTTGAGGCCTACAGTGAAAAAGGGTATATCTTCACATAAAAACTACACAGAAGTGTTCTCAGAAACTTCTTTGTGAAGTGTGCATTCAACTCACGGAGTTGAACTTTTATTTTGATTGAGCAGTTTTGAAAACCCTTTTTGTAGAATCTCCAAGTGGACATATGAGCGTTTGAGGCCTGTGGTGAAAAAGGAAATATCTTCACATAAAAACTGCACAGAAGCATTCTGAAAAACTTCTTTGTGATGTTTGCTTTCAACTCACTGAGTTGAACATTCGTTTTCATAGAGCAGTTTTGAAATACTATTTTTGTAGAATTTGCAATTGGATATTTGGTCCACTTTGAAGCCTTCGTTGGAAACGGGATACCTTCAGATAAACACCAGACAGAAGCATTCTCAGAAACTTCTATTTGATGTGTGTATTCAACTCACAAAGTTGAACCTTTCTTTTGATAGAGCCGTTTTGAAACACTGTTTTTGTAGAATCTGCAAATGGACATTTGGAGCGCTTTGAGGCCTAAGGGGAAAAAGAAATATCTTCACATAAAAACTGCACAGAAGCATTCTCAGAAACTTCTTTGTGCTCTTTGCTTTCAACTCACAGAGTTGAGCATTCCCTTTCATAGAGCAGTTTTGAAACACTCTTTTTGTAGGATTTGCAAGTGGATATTTGGACCACTTTGCGGCCTTCGTTGGAAACGGGATATCTTCACATAAACACCAGACAGAAGCATTCTTAGAAAGTTCTTTTTGATGCGTGCATTCTACTCACACAGTTGAACCTTTCATTTGATAGAGCTGTTTTGAAACACTATTTTTGTAGAATCTGCAAGTGGACGTTTGGAGTGTTTTGAGGCCTATGGTGAAAAAGAAATATCTTCACATAAAAACTACACAGAAGCATTCTCAGAAACTTGTTTTTCCTGCTTGCTTTCAACTCACAGAGTTGAACATTCCTTTTCATAGAGCAGTTTTGATACACTATTTTTGTGGAATTTGCAAGTCGATATTTGTACCACTTTGAGGCCTTCGTTGGAAACGGAATACCTTCACATAAAAACTAGACAGAAGCATTGACAGAAACTTCTTTGTGATGTATGCATTCAACACATAGAGTTTAACTTTTCTTTTGATAGAGCAGTTTTGAAAGACTCTTTTTGAAGAATCTGCAAGTGGACATTTGGAGCCCTTTGAGGACAATGAAGAAAAACGAAATATCTTCATATAAAAACAATACAGAGGCATTCTCAGAAACTTCTTTGTAATGTGTGCATTCAACTCACAGAGTTGAACCTTTCTTTTCATAGAGGAGATTTGAAAAACTCTTTCTGTTGAATTTGCAAGTGGATTTTTGGACCGCTCAGAGGCCTTCATTGGAAACGGGATATCTTCACATTTAAAACTAGACAGAAGCATTCTCAGAAACTTTTTTGTGAGGTGTGCATTCAACTCACAGAGATGAACCTTTCTTTTGATAGAGCAGTTTTGAAGCACTCTTTTTTTAGGATCTTCAAGTGGACATTTTGAGCGCTTTGATGCCTTTGCTGAAAAAGGAAAAATTAGCACAGAAAAACTAGACAGATGCATTCTCAGAAACTTCTTTGTGATGAGTGCATTCAACTCACAGAGTTGAATCTTTGTTTTGATAGAGCAGTTTTGAAACACTCTTTTTGTAGAACCTGCAAGTGGACATTTGGAGCGCTTTGAATCCTACGATGAAAAAGGAAATATCTTCACATGATAATTGCATAGAAGCATTCTTAGAAACTTCTCTGTGCTGTTTGCTTTCAACTCACAGAGTTGAACATTCCTTTTCATAGAGCAGATTTGAAACACTCTTTTTGTGGAATTTGCTAGTCGATATTTGTACCACTTTGAGGCCACTGTTGGAAATGGAATACCTTCACATAAAAACTAGATAGAAGCTTTGAGAGAAATTTCTTTGTAATGTGTGCATTCAACTCACAGAGTTGAACCTTTCTTTTGATAGAGCAGTTTTGAAAGACTCTTTTTGTAGAATCTGCAAATGGACATTTGGAGCGCTTTGAGGCCAATGGAGGAAAATCAAATCTCTTCACATAAAAACTATATAGAAGCATTCTCAGAAACTTTTTGTGATGTGTGCATTCAACTCACTGAGTTGAACCTTTCTTTTCATAGAGCAGATTTGAAACACTCTTTCTGCTGAATTTGCAAGTGTATATTTGGACCTCTTAGAGGCCTTCGTTGGAAATGGGATATCTTCACATAACTAGACAGAAGTATTCACAGGAAATTTTTTGTGATGTGTGCATTCAACTCAGAGAGTTTAACCTTTCTTTTGATGGAGAAGTTTTGAAACATTCTTTTGGTAAAATCTGCAAGTGAACATTTGGAGAGCTTTGAGGTTAATGGTGAAAAAGGAAATATCTTCACTTAAAAACTACACAGAAGCATTCTCAGAAACTTCTTTGTGACGTTTGCTTTCAACTCAGAGAGTTGAACATTAATTTCCATATGGCAGTTTTGAAACACTCTTTATGTTGAATTTGCATGTGGATATTTGGAGCACTTTGAGGCTTTCGTTGGAAACAGGATATCTTCACATAAAATCTAGACAGAAGCACTCACAGAAACTTCTTTGTAATGTGTGTATCCAACTCACCTAGTTGAACCTTTCTTTTGATAGAGCAGTTTTGACACACTATTTTTGTAGAATCTGCAAGTGGACATTTCAGCGCTTTGAGGCCTGTGGTGAAAAAGGAAATATGCTCACATAAAAACCACACAGAAGCACTCTCAGAAACTTCTTTGTGATGTTTGCTTTCAACTCACAGAGTTGAACATTCCATTTCATAGAGCAGTTTTGAAACACTCTTTTTGTAGGATTTGCAAGTGGATATTTGGACCACTTTGAGGCCTTCGTTGGAAAAGGGATATCTTCACATAAAAACAGAGAGAAGCATTCTCAGAAACTTCTTTGTGATGAGTGCATTGAACTCACAGAGTTGAATCTTTCTTTTGATAGAGCAGTTTTGAAGCCCTCTTTTTCTAGAATCTGCAAGTGGACACTTGGTGCGCTTTGAGGCATATGGTGAAAAAGGGAATACCTTCACATAAAAACTACACAGGAGTGTTCTCAGAATCTTCTTTGTGATGTGTGCATTCAACTCACAGAGTGGAACCTCTCTTTTGATAGAGCCGTTTTGAAACACTATTTTTGTGGAATTTGAATGTCGATATTTGTACCAATTTGAGGCCTTCTTTGGAAACGGAATACCTTCACATAAAAACTGGACAGAAGCATTGACAGAAACTTCCTTGAGATGTATGCATTCATCTCACAGTTTTGAACCTTTCTTTTGATAGAGTGGTTTTGAAAGACTCTTTTTGCAGAATCTACAAGTGGACATTTGGAGCGCTTTGAGGCCAATGGAGAAAAGCGAAATCTCTTCACAGAAAAACTACACGGAAGCATTCTCAGAAACTTCTTTGTGATGTTTGCTTTCAACTCACAGAGTTGAACATTCCTTTTCATAGAGCAGATTTGAAACACTCTTTTTGTGGAATTTGCAAGTCGATATTTTTACCACTTTGAGGCCTTCATTGGAAACGGAATACCTTCACATAAAAACTAGATAGAAGCATTGAGAGAAACTTCTTTGTAATGTATGCATTCATCTCACAGAATTGAACCTTTTTTTTGATAGAGCAGTCTTGAAAGCCTCTTTTTGTAGAATCTGCAACTGGACATTTGGTGTGCTTTGAGGCCAATGGAGGAAAATGAAATCTCTTCACATAAAAACTATACAGAAGCATTCTCAGAAACTTTTTTGTGATGAGTGCATTCATCTCACAGAGTTGAACTTTCTTTTGATAGAGCGGTTTTGAAATACTCTTTTTGTAGAATCTGCAAGTGGACATTTATAGTGTTTTGAGGTCTACAGTGAAAAAGGGAATATCTTCACATAAAAACTGCACAGAAGAATTCTCAGAAACTTCTTTGTGATCTGTGCATTCAACTCACAGAGATGAACCTTTCTTTTGATAGAGCTGTTTTGAAAAACACTTTTTGAAGTATCTGCAAGTGGACATTTGGAGTGCTTTGAGGCCTTTAGTGAAAAAGGAAATATTTTCACATAAAAACTAGACAGAGGCATCTCAGAAGCTTCTTTGTGATGTTTGCTTTCAACTCACAGAGTTCAACTTTCCTTTTCATAGAGCAGTTTTGAAACACTCTTTTTGTAGAATTTGCAAGTGGATATTTGGACCACTTTGAGGCCTTCGTTGGAAACGGGATATCTTTACACAAAAACTAGACAGAAGAATTCACATAAACTTCTTCGTGATGTATGCATCCAAGTCACAGAGTTGAAACTTTCTTTTGAAAGAGCAGTTTTGAAACACACTTTTTGTAGAATCTGCAAGTGGACATTTGGAGCGCTTTGAGGCCAGTGGTGAAAAAGGAAATATCTTCACCTAAAAACTGCACAGAAGCATTCTCAGAAACTTCTTTGTGCTTTTTGCTTTCAACACACAGAGTTGAACATTCGTTTTAATAGAACAGTTTTGAAACACTCTTTTTGTGGAATTTGCTAGTGGATATTTCTACCACTTTGAGGCCTTCATTGGAAATGGAATACCTTCCCATAAAAACTAGACAGAAGCATTGACAGAAACTTCTTTGTGATGTATGCATTCAACTCACAGAGTTCAACTTTTCTTTTGATAGAGCAGTTTTGAAACACTCTTTTTGTAGAATCTGCAAGTGGACGTTTGGAGCGCTTTGAGGCCAATGGAGAAAAACGAAATCTCTTCACATAAAAACTACACAGAAGCATTCGAAGAAACTTCTTTGTCATGTGTGCATTCAACTCACAGAGCTGAACCTTTCTTTTCATAGAGCAGTTTTGAAACACTCTTTGTATAATTTGCAAGTGTATATTTGGACTGCTTAGAGGCCTTCATTGGAAATGGGATATCTTCACATGAAAACTAGACAGCAGCATTCTCAGAAACTTCTTTGTGATGTGTGCATTCAACTCACAGAGATGAAACTTTCTTTTGTTAGATCAGTTTTGAAACACTCTTTTTGTAGAATCTGCAAGTGGACAATTGGAGCTCTTTGAGGCCTATGGTGAAAAAGGAAATATCTTTCCATAAAAACTAGACAAAGTCATTCTCAGGAACTTCTTTGTGATGAGTGCATTCAACTCACAGAGTTGAATCTTTATTTTGATACAGCAGTTTTGAAACACTCTTTTTGTAGATTCTGCAAGTGGACATTTAGAGTGCTTTGAGGCCTATGTTGAAGAGGGGAATAGCTTCACATGAAAAGTAGACAGAAGCATTCTCAGAAACTTCTTTGTGATGTGTGCATTCAACTCACAGAGTTGAACGTTCCTTTTGATAGAGCAGTTTTGAAACACTCCTTTTGAAGTATCTGCAAGTGGATATTTGAAGTGCTTTGAGGTCTACGTTGGAAACGAGAATAGCTTCACATAAAAAGTAGAAAGAAGCATTCTCAGAAACTTCTTTGTGATGTGTGCATTCAACTCACAGAATTGAACCTTCGTTTTGAAAGTGCCATTTTTAAACACTCTTTTTGTAGAATCTGCAAGTGGATATTTGGACGGTTTTGAAGCCTACAGTAGAAAAGGAAGTATCTTCATACAATAACTAGACAGAAGCTTTCTCAGAAGCTACTTTGTGATGTTTGCATTCAACGCATAGAGTTGAACCTTCCTTTTGATAGAGTAGTTTTGAAACACTCTTTTTGAAGAATCTGCAAGTGGATATTTGGAGGGCTTTGAGGCCTTTGTTGGAAACGGAAATAACTTCACATAAAAAGCAGACAGAAGCATTCTCAGAAACTTCTTTGCGATGTGTGCATTAAACTAATGGAGTTGAGCCTTCATTTTGATACAGCAGTTTTGAAAGATGCTTTTTGTAGAATATGCAAGTGGATATTTTGATGGCTTTAAGGCCTTCGGTGTATATGGGAATATCTTCACATAAAAACTAGACAAAAGCATTCTCAAAAACTTCTTTGTGATGTGTGCATTCAACTCACAGAATTGAACGTTCCTTTTGAAAGGGCAGTCTTGAAACACTCTTTTTGTAGAATCTGCAAGTGGATATTTAGACCGTTTTGAGGTCTACGGTAGATAAGGGAATATCTTTATATAAAAACTAGACAGAAGCATTCTCAGAAACTACTTTGTGATGTGTGCATTCAACTCACAGAGTTGAAGATTCCTTTTCATAGAGCAGTTTTGAAACACTCTTTTTGTAGAATCTGCAAGTGAATATTTGGACCGCTTTGAGGCCTTCGTTGGAAAAGGGAATAGCTTCACATAAAAAGTAGACAGAAACATTCTCAGAAACTTCTCTGTGATGTGTGCATTCAACTCACAGAGTTGAATATTCCCTTTGACAGAGCTGTTTTGAAACACTCTTTTTGTAGAATCTGCAAGAGGACATTTGGAGCGCTATGAAGCCTGTGGAGGAAAAGGAAATATCTTCACATAGAAACTACACAGAAGCATTCTCAAAAAGTCTTTTGTGGTGTGTGCATTCAACTCACAGAGTTGAACTTTTCCTCTGATAGAGCAGTTTTGAAACACCCTTTTTGTAAAATTTGTAAGTGTACATTTGGAGCTCTTTGAGGCCTGTGGTGGAAAAGGAAATACATTCACATCGAAACTAGAGAAAAGCATTCTCAGAAACTACTTTGTGACGTGCGCATTGAACTTACAGAGTTAAACCTTCCTTTTGATAGAGTAGTTTTGAAACACTCTTCATGTAGAAACTGCATGTGGATATTTGGAACGAATTTACTCCTTCGTAGGAAAAGGGAATAGCTTCACATAAAAAGTAGACAGAAACATTCTGAGAAACTTCTTTGTGATGTGTGCATTCAACCCACAGAATTGAACCTTCCTTTTGATGGAGCAATTTTGAATCACTCTTTTTGCAGAATTTGCAAGTGGACATTTGGAGCTCTTTGAGAACTGTGGTGGAAAAGGATATATCTTCAAATAGAAAATAGAAGCGTTCTCAGAAACTTCTTCATGATATGTGCATTCAACTCACAGAATTGAACCTTCCTTTGAAAGTGCAGTTTTGAAACACTCTTTTTGTAGAATCTGCAAGTGGATGTTTCTACCTTTTTGAGGCCTATAGTGGAAAAGGAAATATCTTCATATAAAGGTAGACAGAAGCATTCTCAGAAACTAATTTGTGACGTGTGAATTCAACTCACAGAGTTGAAAATTCCTTATCACAGAGCAGTTTTGAAACACTCTTTTTGTAGAATCTGCAAGTGGATATTTTTATCGCTTTGTGGCCTTCATTGGAAACGGGAATAGCTTCACATAAAAAGTAGACAGAAGCATTCTCAGAAACTTCTTTTTGATGTGTGCATTCAACTCACAGAGTTGAACATTCCTTTTGACAGAGCAGTTTTGAAACACTTTTTGTAGAATCTGCAAGTGGACATTTGGAGCGCTTTGTGGCCTGTGGTGGAAAAGGAAGTATCTTCACATAGAAACTAAGAGAAGCATTCTCAGAAACTTCTTTGTGATGTGTGCATTCAACTCACACAGTAGAACATTCCTTTTGATAGAGCAGTTTTGCATCACTCTTTTTGTAGAATTTGCAAGTGGACATTTGGAGCTCTTTGAGGACTGTGGTGGAAAAGGATATATCTTCACATAGGAACTAGAGGAAGCATTCTCAGAAACTTCTTTGTGATGTGTGCATTCAACTCAGAATAGAACATTCCTTTTGACAGAGCAGTTTTTAAACACTCTTTTTTTAGAATCTGCAAGTGGACATTAGGAGCACTTTGAAGCCTGTGGTGGAAAAGGATATATCTTCACATAGAAACTAGACAGAAGCATTCTCAGAAACTTCTTTGTGATGTGTGCATTAAACTTAAAGAGTTGAACCATCCTTCTGATACAGCAGTTTTGAATCATTCTTTTTGTAGAATTTGCAAGTGGACATTTGGAGCTCTTTGAGGACTGTGGTAGAAAAGGATATATCTTCACATAGAAACTAGAGAGAAGCATTCTCAGGTATCCCTTTGTGATGTGTATATTCAACTGACGGAGTTTAACTTCCCTTTTGATAGATCCCTTTTGAAACACTCTTTTTGTAGAATCTGCAAGTGGGTATTTGGAGCGCTTTGAGGCCATTGTAGGAAACGGGAATAGCTTCACATAAAAAGTAGACGGAAACATTCTCAGAAACTACCTTGTGATGTGTGCATTTAACTCACAGAGTTGAACATTCCTTTTGACAGAGCAGTTTTGAAAAACTGTTTTTGCAGAATATGCAAGTGTATATTTGGAGCGCTTTGAGACCTGTGTGGAAAAGGAAATATCTTCACATAGAAACTAGACAGAAGCATTCTCAGAAACTTCTTTGTGATGTGTGCATTCAACTAACAGAGTTGAAGCTTCCTTTTTATAGAGCAGTTTTGAAACACGCTTTTTGTAGAATCTGCAAGTGGATATTTTGACGGCTTTGAGGCCTTTGGTGTAAATGGGAGTATCTTCACATACAAACTAGACAAAAGCATTCTCAAAAACTTCTTCATGATGTGTGCATTCAACTAACCGAACTGAACCTTCCTTTTGGAAAAGGAAATATCTTCACATAGAAACTAGACAGAAGGATTATCACACACTTCTTTGTGATGTGTGCATTCACCTCACAGAGTAGAACATTCCTTTTGACAGACCAGTTTTGAAACAGTCTTTTTGTGGAATCTGCAAGTGGACATTAGGAGCGCCTTGAGGCCTGTGGCGGAAAAGGATATATCTTCACATAGAAACTAGAGAGAAGCATTCTCATAAAGTTCTTTGTGGTGTGTGCATTCAACTCACAGAATTGAACCTTCGTTTTGAAATTTCCATTTTGAAACCCTCTTTTTGTAGAATCTGCAAGTGGATATTTGAACCGTTTTGAGGTCTACAGTATAAAAGGAAATATCTTCATACTAAAACTAGACAGAAGCATTCTCAGGAGCTACATTTTGATGTTTGCATTCAACTCACAGAGTTGAACCTTCCTTTGCATGGAGCAGTTTTGAGACCCTGTTTTTTAAGTTTCTGCAAGTGGATATTTGGAGTGCGTTGAGGCCTTCATTGGAAACAGGAGGAGCTTCACATAAAAAGTAGAAAGAAGCATTTTCAGAAACTTCTTTGTGATGTGTGCATTCAACTCACACAGTAGAACATTCCTTTCGACAGAGCAGTATTGAAACACTCTTTTTGTAGAATCTACAAGTGGACATTAAGAGCGCTTTGAGGCCTGTGTTGGAAAAGGATATATCTTCATATAAAAACTAGACATAAGCATTCTCAGAGACTTCCTTCTGACGTGTACATTCAACACACAGAGTTGATAGAGCCCTTTTGAAACATTCTTTTTGTAGAATCTGCAAGTTGATATTTGGAGCGCTTGGAGGCCTTCGCAGGAAACGGGAATAGCTTTACATAGAAACTAGACAGAAGCATTCTCAGAGACTACTTTGTGATGTGTACATTCAACTCAGAGAGTTGAACATCCCTTTAGATAGAGCCATTTTGAAACCCTCTTTTTGTAGAATTTGCAAGTGGATATTTGGAGCGCTTTGAGGCCTTCGTTGGAAACGGAATAGCTTCAAAGAAAAAGTAGACAGAAGCATTCTCAGAAACTTCTTTGTGATGCTTGCATTCAACTAACAGTGTTGAACTTTCCTTTTGATAGGACAGCTTTGAAACACGCTTTTTGAAGTATCTGCAAGTGGATATTTGGAGTGCTTTGAGACCTTCATTGGAAAAGGGAATAGCTCCACATAAAAATAGAGAGAAGCATTCTGAAAAACTAATTTGTGATGTGTGCATTCAACTAACAGAGTTAAACCTTCCTTTTGATAGAGCAGTTTTGAAACACTCTTTTTGAAGAATCTGCAACTGGATATTTGGATTGCTTTGAGGCCTTCATTGGAAACGGGAGTAGCATGCCATGAAAAAGTAGACAGAAGTATTCTCAGAAACTTCTTTGTGATGTGTGCATTTAACTAAAAGATTTGAACCTTCCTTTTGATAGAGCAGTTTTGAAACACTCTTTTTGAAGAATCTGCACGTGGATATTTGGAGTGCTATGAGGCCTGTGGTAGAAAATGAAATATCTTCATATAAAAACTAGACAGAAGCATTCTCAGAGACTACTTTGTGATGTGTACATTCAACTCACAGAATTGAACATCCCTTTAGATAGAGCCCTTCTGAGACAGACTTTTTGTAGAATCTGCAAGTGGATATTTGGAGCACTTTGAGGCCTTCATTGGAAACGGGAGTAGCTTCACTTAAAAAGTAGACAGAATCATTCTCAGAAACTTCTTTGTAATGTGTGCATTCAACTCACGGAGTTGAACATTCCTTTTGAAAGAGCTGTTTTGAAACACTCTTTTTGTAGAATCTGCAAGTGGACATTTGGAGCGCTTTGAGGCCTGTGTGGAAAAAAAAATCTTCACAGAGAAGCTAGACAGCAGCATTCTCAAAAACTTCTTTGTGATGTGTGCATTCAACTAACAGAGTTGAACTTTCCTTTTGATAGAGCAGTTTTGAAACATGCTTTTTGTAGAATCTGCAAGTGGATATTTTGACGACTTTGAGGCATTCCGTGTAAATGGGAATATCTTCACATAAAAACTAGACAAAAGAATTCTCAAAAACTCCTTTGTGATGTGCACATTCAACTCACAGAATTGAAAATTCCTTTTGAAACAGCAGTTTTGAAACACTCTTTTTGTAGAATCTGCATGTGGACATTTGGAGTGATTTCAGGCCTGTGGTGGAAAAGGAAATATCTTCTCATAGAAACTTGACAGAAGCATTCCCAGAATCTTCTTGTGATGTGCACATTCAGCTCAACGAGTTGAACATCCCTTTTGAGAGAGCCCTTTTGAAACACACTTTTTGTAGAATCTGTAAGTGGATATTTGGACCACTTTTAGGCCTATGGTGGAAACGGGAATAGCTTGACATAAAAAGTAGACAGAAGAATTATCAGAAACTACTTTGTGATGTGTGCATTCAAGTCACAGAGTTGAACCTTTTTTTTGAAAGAGCAGTTGTGAACCACTCTTTGAATGTGCAAGTGGACAGTTGGAGCTCTTTGAGGCCTGTGGTGGAAAAGGAAATATCTTCAAATAGAAACTAGACGGAAGCATTCTCAGAAACTTCTTTGTGATGTGTGCATTATACTTACAGAGTTGGACCTTCCTTTTGACAGAGCAGTTTTGAAACACTTTTTGTAGAAACTGCTTGTGGATATTTGGACCGATTTGAGGCCTTCGTTGGAATAGGGAATAGCTTCTAAAAAAAAAGGAGACAGAAGCATTCTCAGAAACTTCTTTGTAATGTGTTCATTAAACACACAGAGTGGAAATTTCTTCTGATAGAGCAGTTTAGAAACACTATTTTTGTAGAATCTGCAAATGGACATTTGGAGCGCTTTCAGGCCTGTGGTGGAAAAGGAAATATCTTCACAGAGATACTAGACAGAAGCATTCACAAAAACTTCTTTGTTATGTGTACATTCAACTCACAGAATTGAACATCCCTTTTGATAGAGCAGTTTTGAACACGGTATTTGAAGAATCTGCAAGTGGATATTTTGACGGATTTGACGCCTTCAGTGGATATGGGAATATCTTCACATTAAAACTAGACAGAAGCATTCTCAAAAACAACTTTGTGATGTGTGCATTCAACTCACAGAATTGAACTTTCCTTTTGAAAGAGCAGTTTTGAAACACTCTTTTTCTAGTATCTGCAAGTGGATATTTGGGCCGCTTTGAGGCCTATGGCAGAAAAGGAAATATCATCATATACAAACTAGACAGAAGCATTCTCAGAAACTACTTTGAGTTGTGTTCATTCAACTCACAGAGTTGAACATTACTTTTGATAGAGCAGTTTTGAAACAATCTTTTTGTAGAAACTGCAAGTGGATATTTAGACCGATTTGAGGTCTTCGTTGGAAATGAGAATAGCTTCAAATAAAATGAGACTGAAGCATTCTCAGAAACTTCTTTGTGATGTGTGTATTCAACTCACAGAGTTGAACATTCCTTTTGACAGAGCAGTTTGAAACACTCTTTTAGTACAATCTCCAAGTGGATATTTGGAGGGCTTTCAGGCTTTTGGTGGAATGGGAATTATCTTCAGATAGAAACTAGAAAGAAGCTTTCTGAGAAACTTCTTTGTGATGTGTACATTCAACTCACAGAATTGAACATCCCTTTTGATAGAGTGGTTTTGAAACACTCTTTTTGTAGAATCTGGAAGCAGATATTTGGAGCGCTTTGAGGCCTTCGTGGGAAACGGGAATAACTTCACATAAAAAGTAGACAGAAGCATTCTCAGAAACTTCTTTGTGATGTGTGCATTCAACTCACAGAGTTGAACATTCCTTTTGACAGAGCAGTTTTGAAACACTCTTTTTGTAGAATCTGCAGGTGGACACCTAGAGCGCTTTGAGGCCTCTGGTGGAAAAGGTAATATCTTCACATAGAAACTAGAGAGAAGCATTCTAAGAAACCTCCTTTTGATGTGTGCCTTCAACTCAGAGTTGAACCTTCCTTTTGATAGAGCAGTTTTGAAACACTCTTTTTGTAGAAACTGCAATTGGATATTTGTACCGATTTGAGGCCTTCGTTAGAAACGGGAATAGCTTCACCTAAAAAGTACACAGAAGCATTCTCAGAAACTTCTTTGTTATCTGTGCATTCAACTCACAGAGTTGAACATTCTTTTTGAGAGAGCAGTGTTGAAACACTCTTTTTGTAGAATCTTCAAGTGGAGATTTGGAGCGCTTTGAGGCCTGTGTTGGAAAAGGAAGTATCTTCACATAGAAACTAGACAGAAGCATTCTGAGAAACTTCTTTGTGATATGTGCATTTAACTCATAGAGCTGAACCTTCCTTTTGATAGAGCAGTTTTGAAACACTCTTCTTGAAGGATCTGCAAGTGGATATTTGGAGGGCTTTGAGGCCTATGGTAGAAAAGGAAATATCGTCATATAAAATTAGACAGAAGCATTCTCAGAAACTACTTTGGATGTTTGCATTCAACTCACAGAGTTGAACATTCCTTTTGACAGAGCAGTTTTGAAACACTCTTTTTGTAGAATCTGCAAGAGGACATTTGGAGTGCTTTCAGGCCTGTGGTGGAAAAGGGAATATCTTCACATGGAAACTAGACAGAAGTATTCTCAGAAACTTCTTTGTGATGTGTACATTCAACTCACAGATTTGAACAAGTCTTTTGATAGAGCAGTTTTGAAACCCTCTTTTTGTAGAATCTGCAAGTGGATATTTGGACTGCTTTGTGGCCTTCATTGGAAATGTGGTTATCTTCTCATAAAAACTAGACAGAAGCATTCTCAGAAGCTACTTTGTGATGTGTGTATTCAACTCACAGATTTGAACCTTCTTTTTGCTAGCACAGATTTGAAACACTCTTTTTCTGGAATCTGCTAAAGGACATTTGGAGGGCTTCGAGGGCTACAGTGGAAAAGGAAATATTTCACATAAACACTAGACAGAAGCCTTCTCAGAAACTTCTTTGTGATATTTGCATTCAACTCACAGAGTTGAACAGAACTTTTCATAGGGCAGTTTTTTAGAAATTTTTTTTTGTTTTTTTTTTTTGTTTCTTTTTTATTATTATTATACTTTGTTTTAGGGTACATATGCACAATGTGCAGGTTAGTTACATATTTATACATGTGCCATGCTGGTGCGCTGCACCCACTAAATCGTCATCTAGCATTAGTTATATCTCCCAATGACATCCCTCCCCCCTTCCCCCCACCCCATAACAGGCCTCAGAGTGTGATGTTCCCCTTAATGTGTCCATGTGTTCCCATTGTTGAATTCCGACCTATGAGTAAGAATATGCGGTGTTTGGTTTTTTGTCCTTGCGAGAGTTTACTGAGAATGATAATTTCCAATTTCATCCA
Source organism: Homo sapiens (assembly GCF_000001405.40). Lineage (NCBI taxonomy): Eukaryota > Metazoa > Chordata > Mammalia > Primates > Hominidae > Homo > Homo sapiens. Next base: position 26,664,160 of record NC_000017.11, read on the forward strand.
TGTCCCTACAAAGGACATGAACTCATCATTTTTTATGGCTGCACAGTATTCCAAGGTGTATATGTGCCACATTTTCTTAATCCAGCCTATCATTGTTGGACATTTGGATTGGTTCCAAGTTTTTGCTATTGTGAATAGTGCCACAATAAACACACGTGTGCATGTGTTTTTATAGCAGCATGATTTATAGTCCTTTGGGTATAAACACTCTTTATGTTGAATATGCAAGTGGATATTTAGACGGGTTTGAAGCCTTCGCTGGAAACGGGAATGCCTTCACATAGAAACTAGACAGAAGCATTCTCAGAAACTTCTTTGTGATGTATGCATTCAACTCACAGAGTTGAAACTTCTTTTTGGTAGAGCAGTCTTAAACACTCTTTTTGGAGAATCTGGAAATGGATAATTGGAGCGCTTTGAGGCCTATGGTGGAAACGGGAATAGCTTCATGTAAAAACTAGACAGAAGCATTCTCAGAAATTTATTTGTGATGTGTGCATTCAACTCAGAGCAGAGCATTCCTTTGGACAGAGCAGTTCTGAAACACTCTTTTTGTAGAATTTGCAAGTGCACATTTGGAGAGCTTTGAGGCCTGTGGTGGAAAAGGAAATATCTTCACATAGAAACTAGAGAGAAACATTCTCAGGATCTTCTTTGTGATGTGTGCATTCAACTTACTGAGTTGAACCTTCCTTTTGATAGAGTAGTTTTGAAACACTCTTTTGGTAGAATCTGCAAGAGGATATTTGGAGTGCTTTGAGGCCTGTGGTGAAAAAGGAAATGTCTTCACATAGAAACAAGACAGAGCATTCTCAGAAACTTCTTTGTGTTCTGTGCATTCAACTCACAGGGTTGAACCTTCCTTTTGATAGAGCAGATTTGAAACACTCTTTTTGAAGAATCTGCAAGTGGATATTTTGATGGCTTTGAGGCCTTCGGTGGAAATGGGAATATCTTCACATAAAAACTAGAGAGAATCATTCTCAAAAACTTCTTTGTGACGTGTGCATTAAACTGACAGAATTGAACCTTTCTTTTGAAAGAACAATTTTGAAGCACTCTTTGTGTAGAATCTGAAAGCGGATATTTGGACCGCTTTGAGGCCTATGGTAGAAAAGGAAATATTTTCATATAAAAAGCAGACAGAAGCATTCTCAGAAACTTCTTTGTGGTGTGTGCATTCAACTCACAGAGTTGAACATTCCTTTTGATAGAGCAGTTTTGAAACACTCTTTTTGTTGAACCTGCGAGTGGATATTTGGACCGCTTTGAGGCCTATGGTGGAAACGGGTGTAGCTTGTCATAAAGAGTAGACAGAAGCATTCTAAGAAACTACATTGTGATGTGTGCATTCAATTCAGAGTTGAACCTTCATTTTGCTAGAGCAGTTTTTTTTGATATGGAGTCTCGCTCTGTCCCCAGGCTGGAGTGCAGTGGCATGATCTCAGCTCACTGCAACCTCCGTCTCCTGGGTTCACGCCATTCTCCTGCCTCAGCTTCCCACATAGCTGGGACTACAGGTGCCCGCCACCATGCCCAGCTATTTTTTTTTTTTTTTGTATTTTTAGTAGCGACGGGGTTTCACCGTGTTAGCCAGGATGGTCTCGATCTCCTGACCTCATGATCCGCCCGCTTCAGCCTCCCAAAGTGCTGGGATTACAGGCGTGAGCCAACGCGCCTGGCCAGAGCAGTTTTGAAACACTGTTTTCGAAGTATCTGCAAGTGGATATTTGGAGCGTTTTGAGGCCTGTGGTGGAAAAGCATATATATTCACCTAGAAACTAGGGAGAAGCATTCTCAGAAACTTCTTTGTGATGTGGGCATTCAACTTACAGAGTTGAACCTTCCTTTTAATAGAGCAGTTTTGAAACACTCTTTTGGTAGAATCTGCAAGTGGATATTTGGAGTGCTTTGAGTCCTGTGGTAGAAAAGGAAATATCTTCATATAAAAACTAGACAGAAGCATTCTTAGAAACTACTTTGTGATGTGTGCATTCATCTCACGGAGTTGAACATCCCTTTTGATAGAGCAGTTTTGAAACACTCTTTTTGTAGAAAATGCTGTGGATATTTGGACCGATTTGAGGCCTTCATTGGAAACGGGAATAGTTTCACATAAAAACGAGGCAGAAGCATTCTCAGAAACTTCTTTGTGATGTGTGCATTCAACTCACAGAATTGAACCTTCTTTTGATAGAGCAGTTTTGAAACACTCTTTTTGTAGAATCTCCAAGTGGACATTTGGAGGACTTTTAGGTCTTTGGCGGAAAGGGAAATATCTTCACATAGAAACTAGAAAAGCATTCCGAGAAACTTCTTTGTGATGTGTACATTCAACTCAGAGAGTTGAATATCCCTTTTGATAGAAGAGTTTTGAAACACTCTTTTTGTAGAATCTGCAAGTGGATATTTGGAGTGCTTTGAGGCCTTCATGAGAAACGGGAATAGATTTTCACATAAAAAGTAAACAAACATTCTCAGAAACTTCTTTGTGATGTCTGCATTCAACCCACAGATTTGAACTTTCCTTTTGACAGAGCAGTTTTGAAACCCTCTTTTTGTACAAACTGCAATTGGATATTTGGACCGATTTGAGACCTTCGTTGGAAATGGGAATAGCTTCACATAAAAAGTAGACAGACGCAATCTCAGAAACTTCTTAGTGATCTGTGCATTCATCTCACAGAGTTGAACGTTTCTTTTGATAGAGCAGTTTTGAAATACTCTTTTTGTAGAATTTGCAAGTGGATATTTGGAGCGCTTTGAGGCCTGTGGTGGAAGAGGAAATATCTTCACATAGAAATTAGGGAGAAGCATTCTCAGAAACTTGTTTGTGATGTGTGCATTCAACTCACCGAATTGAACCTTCCTTTTGATGGAGCAGTTTGGAAACACGCTTTATGAAGAATCTGGTAGTGGATATTTTGATGGCTTTGAGGCCTTCGGTAGAAATGGGAATATCTTCATATAAAAACTAGACAGAAACATTCTCAAAAACATGTTTTTGATGTGTGCATTCAACTCACAGAATTGAACTTTCCTTCTGAAAGAGCAGTTTTGAAACAATCTTTTTGTAGAATCTGCAAGTGGATATTTGGACAGCTTTGAGGCCTGTGGTGGAAACGGGAATAGCTTGACATAAAGAGTAGCCAGAAGCATTCTCAGAAACTTATTTGTGATGTGTGCATTCAACTCACAGTGTTGAACCTTCCTTTTGATAGAGTAGCTTTGAAACAGTCTTTTTGAATGATCTGCAAGTGGATATTTGGAGTGTTTTGAGGCCTGTGTTAGTAAAGAAAATATCTTCATATAAAAACTATAAAAACTAGACAGAAGCATTCTCAGAAACTACTTTGGATGTTTGCATTGAACTCACAGAGTTGAACATTCCTTTTGACAGAGAAGTTTTGAAACACTCTTTTTGTAGAATATGGAATTGGATATTTGGAGCGCTTTCAGTCCTGTGGTGGCAACGGGAATAGCATCACATAAAAACAAGACAGAAACATTCTCAGAAACTTATTTGTGATGTGTGCCTTCATCTGACAGAGTTGAAACTTGCTTTTGATCAAGCAGTTTTGAAACACTCTTTCTGTAGCATTTGCACATGGACATGTGGAGCGCTTTGAGGCCTCTGGTGGAAAAGGAAATATCTTCATATAGAAACTAGACAGAAGCATTCTCAGAAACTTCTTTGTGATATGTGCATTCAACTCACAGAGTTGAACCTTCCTTTTGATAAAGCTGTTTTGAAACATCTTGTTGCAGAATTTGCAAGTGGATATTTGGACCACTTTGAGGCCTACAGTAGAAAAGGAAATATCTTCACATAAAAACCTGACAGAAGCATTCTCAGAAACTACTTTGTGATGTGTGCTTTCAACTCACCGAGTTGAACATTCCTTTTGATAGAGAAGTTTTCTAACACTCTTTTTGTAGAATCAGCAGGTGAATATTTGGACCGCTTTGAGGACATCAATGGAAAAGGGAATAGCCTCACATAAAAGGTAGACAGAAGCATTCTCAGAAACAACTTTCTGATGTGTGCATTCACCTCACAGAGTTGAACCTTCCTTTTGAAAAAGCAGTTTTGAAACACTCTTTTTGAAGGATCTGCAAGTGGATATTTGGAGTGCTTTGAGGCATAAAAGAAAATATCTTCATATAAAAACTAGACAGAAGCATTCTGAGAATCTACTTTGGATGTTTGCATTCAACTCACAGAGTTGAACATTCTTTCTGATAGAGCAGTTTTGAAACACTCTTTTTGTAGAATCTGCAAGTGGATATTTGGAACGCTTTTAGGCCTATGGTGGAAACGGGAATAGCTTGACGTAAAGAGCAGGCAGCAGCATTCTCAGAAACTACTTTGTGATGTGTGCATTCAACTAACAGAATTGAAACTTCCGTTTGATAGAGTACTTTTGAATCACTCTTTTTGTAGAATTTGCAAATGGACATTTGGAGCTCTTTGAGGACTGTGGTGGAAAAGGATATAGCTTCAGATAGAAACTAGAGAGAAGCATTCTGAGAAACTTCTTTATGATGTATGCATTCAACTCACAGAAGTGAACCTTCGATTTGAAAGTGCCGTTTTGAAACACTCTTTTGGTAGTATCTGCAAGTGTATATTTGGACCGTATTGAAGCCTACAGTAGAAAAGGAAATAGCTTCATATAAAAACTAGACAGAAGCATTCTGAGAATCTACTTTGCGATGTTTTCATTCAACTCACAGAGTTGAACCTTCCTTTTGATAGAGCAGTTTTGAAACACTGATTTGAAGAACCTGCAAGTGGATATTTGTACTGCTTTGAGGCCTTCATTGGAAATGGGAATAGCTTCACATAAAAAGTAGACAGAAGCATTCTCAGAAACTTCTCTGTGATGTGTGTATTCAACTCACAGAGTTGAATATTCCTTTTGACAGAGCTGTTTTGAAACACTCTTTTTGTAGAATCTCAAGTGGACATTTGGAGCACTTTGAGGCCTGCGGTGGAAAAGGAAATATCTTCACATAGAAATTAGAGAGAAGCATTCTCATAAACTTCTTTGTAATGTGTGCATTAAACTTACAGAGTTAAACCTTCCTTTTGATAGAGCAGTTTTGAAACACTCTTTTTGTAGAATCGACAAGTGGACATTTGGAGCTCTTTGAGTCCTGTGGTGGAAAAGGAAATATCTTCACCTAGAAACTAGACAGAAGAATTCTCAGAAACTTCTTTGTGATGTGTGCACTCAACTCACAGAGTTGTACCTTTCTTCTGATAGAGGAGTTTTGAAACACTTTTTTTGTAAAATTTGTAAGTGGACATTTGGAGCTCTTTGAGGCCTGTGGTGGAAAAGGAAATATCTTCACATAGAAACTAGAGAGAAGCATTGTCAGAAAGTACTTTGTGATGTGTGCATTAAACTTATAGAGTTGAAACTTCCTTTTGATAGAGCAGTTTTGAAACAGTCTTTTTGTGGAAACTGCGTGTGGATATTTGGACCGATTTGAGGCCTTCTTTGGAAAAGGGATTAGATTCACAGAAAAAGTAGACAGAAGCATTCTCAGGAACTTCTTTGTGATGTGTGCATTCAACTCACAGAGAGAACATTCTTTTGACAGAACAGTTTTGAAACACTCTTTTTGTAGAATCTGCAAGTGGACATTAGGCGCGCTTTAAGGCCTGTGGTGGAAAAGGAAATATCTTCACATACAAACTAGATATAAGCATTCTCAGAAACTTCTCTGTGATGTTTGCATTCAACTCACAGAGTTGAAGCTTCCTTTGATGATAGAGCAGTTTTCAATCACTTTTTTGTGGAATTTGCAAGTGGACATTTGGAGCTCTTTGAGGACTGTGGTGGAAAAGGATATATCTTCACATAGAAACTAGAGAGAAGCATTCTCAGAAACTTCTTTGTGATGTGTGCATTCAACTCACAGAATTGAACCTCCTTTTTGAAAGTGCCGTTTTGAAACACTCTTTTTGTGTAATCTGAAAGTAGATATTTGGGCCGTTTTGAAGCCTCCAGTAGAAAAGGAAATATCTTCATATAAAAACTAGACAGAAGCATTGTCAGAAGCTACTTTGTGATGTGTGCATTCAACTCACAGAGTTGAACCTTCCTTTTGATAGAGCAGTTTTGAAACACTCTTTTTCAAGAATCTGCAAGTGGATATTTGGAGTGCTTTGAGGCCTTTATTGGAAACGGGAATAGCTTCACATAACAAGTAGACAGAAGAATTTTCAGAAACTTCTTTGTGATGTGTGCATTCAACTATCAGAGTTGAACCATCCTTTTGTTAGAGCAGTTTTGAAACAGTCTTTTTGAAGAATCTGCAAGTGGATATTTGGAGTGCTCTGAGGACTTCGTTGGAAACGGAAATAGCTTCATATAAAAAGTAGACAGAACCATTCTCAGAAACTTCTTTGTGATGTGTACATTCGACTAACAGAGTTGAACCTTCCTTTTGATAGAGCAGTTTTGAAACACTCTTTTTGAAGAATCTGCAACTGGATATTTGGCCTGTTTTGAGGCCTTCGTTGGAAACGGGATTAGCATCACATTAAAAGGAGACAGAAGCATTCTCAGAAACTTCTTTGTGATGTGTATATTCAACTAACAGAGTTGAACCTTCCTTTTGATAGAGCAGTTTTGAAACACTCTTTTTGAAGAATCTGCAAGTGGATATTTGGAGTGCTTTGAGGCCTAGGGTAGAATAGGAATATCTTCATATAAAAACTAGATAGAAACTTTCTCAGAGACTTCTTTGTGATGTGTACATTCAACTCACAGAGTTGAACATCCCTTTTGATAGAGCCCTTTTGAAACACTCTTTTTGTAGCATCTGCAAGTGAATATTTGGAGCACTTTGAGGGCTTCTTAGGAAATGGGAAGAGCTTCACATAAAAAGAAGACAGAAGCATTCTCAGAAACTTCTTTGTCATGTGTCCATTCAACTCACATAATTGAACATTCCTTTTGACAGAGCAGTTTTGGAACACACTTTTTTGTAGAATCTGGAAGTGGATATTTTGAGTGCTTTGAGGCCTGCGGAAAAGGAAATATCTTCACATAGAAACTAGACAGAAGCGTTCTCAGAAACTACTTTGCAATGTGTGCCTTCAACTAAGAGAGTTGAACCTTCCTTTTGATAGAGCTGTTTTGAAACACGCTTTTTTTTTGAATCTGCAAATGGATATTTTGACGGCTTTGAGGCCTTCAGTGTAAATGGGAATATCTTCACATAGAAACTAGATGAAAGCATTCTCAAAAACTTCTTTGTGATGTGTGAATTCATCTCACAGAACTGCACTTTCCTTTTGAAAGAGCAGTTTTGAAACACTCTTTTTGTAGAATCTGTAAGTCGATATTTGCACGGGTTTGAGGCCAACAGTAGAAAAGGAAATATCTTCATATAAAAATTAGACGGAAGCATTCTCAGACACTACTTTGTGATGTGTGCATTCAAATCACAGAGTTGAACCTTGCTTTTGATAGAGAAGTTTTGAAACACTCTTTTGGTAGAATCTGCAAGTGGATATTTGGAGTGCTTTGAGGCCTGTGGTAGAAAAGGAAATGTCTTCGCATAGAAACTAGACAGAAGCATTCTCAGAAACTTCTTTGTGTTGTGTGCATTCAACTCACAGGGTTGAACCTTCCTTTTGATAGAACAGATTTGAAACACGCTTTTTGAAGGATCTGCAAGTGGATATTTTGACGGCTTTGAGGCCTTCAGTGAAAACAGGAATATCTTCACATAAAAAGTAGACAGAAGCATTCTCAGAAACTTCTTTGTGATGTGTGCATTCAACTGACAGAATTGAACCTCTCTTTTGAAAGAGCAATTTTGAAGCAGTCTTTGTGTAGAATCTGAAAGTGGATATTTGTACCGATTTGAGGCCTATGGTAGAAAAGGAAATATTTTCATATAAAAAGTAGACAGAAGCATTCTCAGAAACTTCTCTTTGATGTGTGCATTCAACTCACAGAGTTGAGCATTCCTTTTGATAGAGCAGTTTTGAAACACTCTTTTTCTTGAATCTGCAAGTGGATATTTGGACCGCTTTGAGGCCTACGGTGGAAACGGGAATAGCTTTTCATAAAGGGTAGACAGAAGCATTCTAAGAAACTGCATTGTGATGTGTGCATGCAACTCACAGAGTTGAACCTTCATTTTGATAGAGCAATTTCAAAACAATCTTTTTGAAGGATCTGAAAGTGGATATTTGGGGCGCTTTGAGGCCTGTGGTGGAAAATGAAATATCTTCACATAGAAACTAGATAGAAGCATTCTCAGAAAGTACCTTGTGATGTGTGCTTTCAACTTACAGATTTGAACCTTCCTTTTGATAGAGCCCTTTTGAAACACTCTTTTGTTACAGTCTGCAAGTGGATATTTAGAGTGCACTGAGTCCTGTGGTAGAAAAGGAAATATCTTCATATAAACACCAGACTGAGGCATTCTTAGAAACGACTTTCTGATGTGTGCATTCAACTCACAGAGTTGAACATTCCTTTTGATAGAGCAGTTTTGAAACCCTCTTCTTGTAGAAACTGCAAGTGGATATTTGGACCGCTTTGAGGCCTTCGTTGGAAAAGGGAATAGCTTCACATAAAAATCAGACAGAAGCATTCTCAGAAAGTTCTTTGTGATTTGTGCATTCAACTCAAAAATTTGAACCTTTCTTTTGATAGAGCAGTTTTGAAACACTCTTTTTTTAGAATCTGCAAGTGGACATTTGGAGCGCCTTCAGGCCTGTGGTGGAAAAGGAAATATCTTCACATAGAAACTGGACAGAAGCATTCCCAGAAACTTCTTTGTGATGTGTACATTCATCTCACCGAGTTGAACAACCCTTTTGATAGAGCTCATTTGAAACACTATTTTTGTAGAATCTGTAAGTGGATATATGGACCGCTTTTAGGCCTATGGTGGAAACGTGAATAGCTTGACATAAAGATTAGACAGAAGCATTATCAGAGACTACTTTGTGATGTGTGTATTCAACTCAGACAGTTGAACCTTCCCTTTGATAGAGCAGTTTTGAACCACTCTTTCCGTGGAATCTGCAAGTGGATATTTTTAACGCTTTGAGGCCTTTGTTGGAAACGGGATTAGCTTCACATAAAAAGTAGACAGAAGAATTCTCAGAAACTTCTTTGTGATGTGTGCATTCAACTCACAGAATTGAACCTTTCTTTTGGTAGAGCAGTTTTGAAACACTCTTTTTGTAGAATTTGCAAGTGGATATTTGGAGCTCTTTTAGGCTTGTGGTGGAAAAGGAAATATGTTCATATAGAAACTAGACAGAAGCATTCTCAGAAAATTCTTTGTGATGTGTGCATTAAAGTTACAGAGTTGGACCTTCCTTTTGACAGAGCAGTTTTGAAACACTCTTTTTGTAGAAACTTCATCTGGATATTTGGACCGATTTGAGGCCTTCGTTGGAAAAGGGAATAGCTTCACATAAAAAGGAGACAGAAGCATTCTCAGAAATTTCTTTGTGATGTGTGCATTCAACACACAGAGTGGAACTTTCTTTTGATAGAGCAGCTTTGAAACACTCTTTTTGTAGTATCTGCAAGTGGACATTTGGAGCGCTTTCAGGCCTGTGGTGGAAAAGGAAATATCTTCACATAGAAACTAGACAGAAGCATTCTCAGAAACTTCTTTGTGATGTGTACATTCAACTCACAGAGTTGAACATCCCTTTTGGTAGAGCAGTTTTGAAACACGCTTTTTCAAGAATCTGCAAGTGGATATTTTGATGGCTTTGATGACTTCAGTGTATATGGGAATATCTTCACATTAAAACTAGACAGAAGCATTCTCAAAAACAGCTTTGTGATGTGTGCATTCAACTCACAGAATTGAACTTTCCTTTTGAAAGAGTAGTTTTGAAACACTCTTTTTGTAGAATCTGCAAGTGGATATTTTACCGCTTTGAGGCCTATGGCAGAAAAGGAAATATCATCATATACAAACTAGAAAGAAGCAATCTCAGACTACTTTGAGATGTGTGCATTCAACTCACAGAGTTGAACATTACTTTTGATAGAGCAGTTTTGAAACAATCTTTTTGTAGAGACTGCAAGTGGATATTTAGACCGATTTGAGGCCTTCGTTTGAAAAGGGAATAGCTTCAAATAAAATGAGACTGAAGCATTCTCAGAAACTTCTTTGTGATGTGTGCATTCAACTCACAGAGTTGAACATTCCTTTTGGTAGAGCAGTTTCAAAACACTCTTTCTGAAGGATCTGCAAGTGGATATTTGGAGTGCTTTGAGGCCTGTGGTGGAAAAGGAAATATCTTCACATAGAAACTAGACAGAAGCTTTCCATTTGCTTGGTAGATCTTCCTCCATCCTTTTATTTTGAGCCTGTGTGTGTCTCTGCACGTGGGATGGGTTTCCTGAATACAGCACACTGATGGGTCTTGATTTTTATCCAATTTGCCTGTCTGTGTCTTTTAATTGGAGCATTTAGTCCATTTAAATTTAAAGTTAATATTGTTATGTGTGAATTTGATCCTATCATTATGATGTTAGCTGGTTATTTTGGTCGTTAATTGATGCAGTTTCTTCCTAGTCTCGATGGTCTTTACATTTTGGCATGATTTTGCAGTGGCTGGTACCGGTTGTTCCTTTCCGTATTTAGCACTTCCTTCAGGAGCTCTTTTAGGGCAGGCCTGGTGATGACAAAATCTCTCAGCATTTGTTTTTCTGTAAAGTATTTTATTTCTCCTTCGCTTATGAAGCTTAGTTTGGCTGGATATGATATTCTGGGTTGAAAATTCTTTTCTTTAAGAATGTTGAATATTGGCCCCCACTCTCTTCTGGCTTGTAGGGTTTCTGCCGAGAGATCCACTGTTAGTCTGATGGGCTTCCCTTTGAGGGTAACCCGACCTTTCTCTCTGGCTGCCCTTAACATTTTTTCCTTAATTTCAACTTTGGTGAATCTGACAATTATGTGTCTTGGAGTTGCTCTTCTCGAGGAGTGTCTTTGTGGCGTTCTCTGTATTTCCTGAATCTGAATGTTGGCCTGCCTTGCTAGATTGGGGAATTTCTCCTGGATAATTTCCTTCAGAGTGTTTTCCAACCTGGTTCCATTCTCCCCATCACTTTCAGGTACACCAGTCAGACGTAGATTTGGTCTTTTCACATAGTCCCATATTTCTTGGAGGCTTTGCTCATTTCTTTTTACTCTTTATTCTCTAAACTTCCCTTCTCGCTTCATTTCATTCATTTCATCTTCCATTGCTGATACCCTTTCTTCCAGTTGATAGCATTGGCTCCTGAAGCTTCTGCATTCTTCATGTAGTTCTCAAGCCTTGGTTTTCAGCTCCATCAGCTCCTTTAAGCACTTCTCTGTATCGGTTATTCTAGTTACACATTCTTCTAAATTTTTTTCAAAGTTTTCAACTTCTTTGCCTTTGGTTTGAATGTCCTCCCGTAGCTCAGAGTAATTTGATCCTCTGAAGCCTTCTTCTCTCAGCTCGTCAAAATCATTCTCCATCCAGCTTTGTTCATTGCTGGTGAGGAACTGCATTCCTTTGGAGGAGGAGAGGCACTCTGCTTTTTAGAGTTTCCAGTTTGGGTTGCAATCCTAGTCTCTGATAAAACAGACTTTAAACCAACAAAGATCAAAAGAGACAAAGAAGGCCATTACATAATGGTAAAGGGATCAATTCAACAAGAAGAGCTAACTATCCTGAATATATGTGCACCCAATACAGGAGCACCCAGATTCATAAAGCAAGTCCTGAGTGACCTACAAAGAGACAGACTCCCACACATTAATAATGGGAGACTTTAACACCCCACTGTCAACATTAGACAGATCAATGAGACAGAAAGTCAACAAGGATACCCAGGAATTGAACTCAGCTCTGCACCAAGCAGACCTAATAGACATCTACAGAACTCTCCACCCCAAATCAACAGAATATACATTTTTTTCAGCACCACACCACACCTATTCCGAAATTGACCACATAGTGAGAAGTAAAGCTCTCCTCAGCAAATGTAAAAGAACAGAAATTATAACAAACTCTCTCAGACCACAGTGCAATCAAACTAGAACTCAGGATTAAGAATCTCACTCAAAACCGCTCAACTACATGGAAACTGAACAACCTGCTCCTGAATGACTACTGGGTACATAACGAAATGAAGGCAGAAATAAAGATGTTCTTTGAAACCAACGAGAACAAAGACACAACATACCAGAATCTCTGGGACACATTCAAAGCAGTGTGTAGAGGGAAATTTATAGCACTAAATGTCCACAAGAGAAAGCAGGAAAGATCAAAAATTGACACCCTAACATCACAATTAAAAGAACTAGAAAAGCAAGAGCAAACACATTCAAAAACTAGCAGAAGGCAAGAAATAACTAAAATCAGAGCAGAACTGAAGGAAATAGAGACACAAAAAACCCTTCAAAAAATTAATGAATCCAGGAGCTGGTTTTTTGAAAGGATCAACAAAATTGATAGACCGCTAGCAAGACTAATAAAGAAAAAAAGAGAGAAGAATCAAATAGACGCAATAAAAAATGATAAAGGGGATATCACCACCGATCCCACAGAAATACAAACTACCATCAGAGAATACTACAAACACCTCTATGCAAATAAACTAGAAAATCTAGAAGAAATGGATAAATTCCTCAACACATACACTCTCCCAAGACTAAACCAGGAAGAAGTTGAATCTCTGAATAGACCAATAACAGGATTTGAAATTGTGGCAATAATCAATAGCTTACCAACCAAAAAGAGTCCAGGACCAGATGGATTCACAGCCGATTTCTACCAGAGGTAGAAGGAGGAACTGGTACCATTCCTTCTGAAACTATTCCAATCAATAGAAAAAGAGGGCATCCTCCCTAACTCATTTTATGAGGCCAGCATCATTCTGATACCAAAGCCGGATAGAGACACAAAGAAAAAAGAGAATTGTAGATCAATATTCTTGATCAACATTGATGCAAAAATCCTCAATAAAATACTGGCAAAACGAATCCAGCAGCACATCAAAAAGCTTATCCACTATGATCAAGTGGGCTTCATCCCTGGGATGCAAGGCTGGTTCAATATACACAAATCAATAAATGTAATCCAGCAGAGCCAAAGACAAAAACCACATGATTATCTCAATAGATGCAGAAAAGGCCTTTGACAAAATTCAACAACACTTCATGCTAAAAACTCAATAAATTAGGTACTGATGGAACGTATTTCAAAATAATAAGAGTTATCTATGACAAACCCACAGCCAATATCATACTGAATGGGCAAAAACTGGAAGCATTCCCTTTGAAAACTGGCACAAGATAGGGATGCCCTCTCTCACCACTCCTATTCAACATAGTGTTGGAAGTTCTGGCCAGGGTAATTAGGAAGGAGAAGGAAATAAAGGGTATTCAATTAGGAAAAGAGGAAGTCAAATTGTTCCTGTTTGCGGACGACATGATTGTATATCTAGAAAACCCCATCGTCTCAGCCCAAAATCTCCTTAAGCTCATAAGCAACTTCAGCAAAGTCTCAGGATACAAAATCAATGTACAAAAATCACAAGCATTCTTATACACTGACAACAGACAAACAGAGAGCCAAATCATGAGCGAACTCCCATTCACAATTGCTTCAAAGAGAATAAAATACCTAGGAATCCAACTTACAAGGGATGTGAAGGACCTCTTCAAGGAGAACTACAAACCACTGCTCAGTGAAATAAAAGAGGATACAAACAAATGGAAGAACATACCATGCTCATGGGTAGGAAGAATCAATATCGTGAAAATGACCATACTGCCCAAGGTAATTTACAGATTCAATGCCATCCCCATCAAGCTACCAATGACTTTCTTCACACAATTGGAAAAAACTACTTTAAAGTTCATATGGAACCAAAAAAGAGCCCGCATCACCAAGTCAATCCTAAGGCAAAAGAACAAAGCTGGAGGCATCATACTACCTGACTTCAAACTATACTACAAGGCTACAGTCACCAAAACAGCATGGTACTGGTACAAAAACAGAGATATAGATCAATGGAACAGAACAGAGCCCTCAGAAATAATGCTACATATCTACAACTATCTGATTTTTGACAAACCTGAGAAAAACAAGCAATGGGGAAAGGATTCCCTATTTAATAAATGGTGCTGGGAAAACTGGCTAGCCATATGGAGAAAGCTGAAACTGGATCCCTTCTTTACACCTTATACAAAAATCAATTCAAGATGGATTAAAGACTTAAACGTTAGACCTAAAACCATAAAAACCCTAGAAGAAAACCTAGGCATTACCATTCAGGACATAAGCATGGGCAAGGACTTCATGTCTAAAACACCAAAAGCAATGGCAACAAAAGACAAAATTGACAAATGGGATCTAATTAAACTAAAGAGCTTCTGCACAGCAAAAGAAACTACCATCAGAGTGAACAGGCAACCTACAGAATGGGAGAAAATTTTTGCAACCTCCTCATCTGACAAAGGACTAATATCCAGAATCTACAATGAACTCAAACAAATTTACAAGAAAAAAACAAAGAACCCCATCAAAAAGTGGGCAAAGGACATGAACAGACACTTCTCAAAAGAAGACATTTATGCAGCCAAAAAACACATGAAAAAATGCTCATCATCACTGGCCATCAGAGAAATGCAAATCAAAACCACAATGGGATACCATCTCACACCAGTTAGAATGGCAATCATTAAAAAGTCAGGAAACAACAGGTGCTGGAGAGGATGTGGAGAAATAGGAACATTTTTACACTGTTGGTGGGACTGTAAACTAGTTCAACCATTGTGGAAGTCAGTGTGGCGATTCCTCAGGGATCTAGAACTAGAAATACCATTTGACCCAGCCATCCCATTACTGGGTATATACACAAAGGACTATAAATCATGCTGCTATAAAGACACATGAACACGTATATTCATTGCAGCATTATTCACGATAGCAAAGACTTGGAACCAACCCAAATGTCCAACAATGATAGACTGGGTTAAGAAAATGTGGCACATATACACCGTGGAATACTATGCAGCCATAAAAATGATGAGTTCATGTCCTTTGTAGGGACGTGGGTGAAATTGGAAATCATCATTCTCAGTAAAATATCACAAGAACATAAAACCAGACACTGCATATTCTCAGTCATAGGTGGGAATTGAACAATGAGATCACATGGACACAGGAAGGGGAATATCACACTCTGGGGACTGTTGTGGGGTGGGGGGAGGGGGGAGGGATAGCATTGAGAGATATACCTAATGCTAAATGACGACTTTGTGGGTGCAGGGCACCAGCATGGCACATGTATACATATGTAACTAACATGCACAATGTGCACATGTACCCTAAAACTTAAAGTATAATAATAAAAAAAGAAGAAACTAGACAGAAGCATTCTTAGAAACTAGTTTGTGATGTGTTCATAAAACTCACCGAGTTGAACATTAGTTTTGATAGAGCAGTTTTGAAACACTCTTTTTGTAGGAAATGCAAGTGGATATTTGGACCGATTTGAGGCCTTCATTGGAAACGGGAGTTGTATCACATGAAAACGAGGCAGAAGCATTCTCTGAAACTTCTTTGTGATGTGTGCATTCAACTCACAGAGTCGAACATCCCTTTTGATAGAGCAGTTTTGAAACACGCTTTTTGAAGGATCTGCAAATGGATATTTTGATGGCTTTGAGGCCTTCAGTGGATATGGGAATATCTTCATATAAAAACTAGACAGAAGCATTCTCAAAAACAACTTTGTGATGTGTGCATTCAACTCACAGAATTGAACTTTCCTTTTGAAAGAGCAGTTTTGAAACACTCTTTTTGTAGAATCTGCAAGTGGATATTTCACCACTTTGAGGCCTACCGCAGAAAAGGAAATATCGTAATATAGAAACTAGACAGAAGCATTCTCAGAAACTACTTTGAGATGTGTGCATTCAACTCACAGACTTGAACATTACTTTTATAGAGCAGTTTTGAAACAATCTTTTTGTAGAAACTGCAAGTGGATATTTAGACTGATTTGATGCCATCGTTGGAAACGGGAAAAGCTTCAAATAAAATGAGACTGAAGCATTCTCAGAAACTTCTTTGTGATGTGTGCATTCAACTCGCAGAGTTGAACCTTCTTTTTGATAGAGCAGTTTTGAAACCCTCTTGTTGCAGTATTTTCAAGTGTATATTTGGACTGCTTTGATGCCTACAGTTGAAAATGAAATATCTTCACATAAAAACCAGACAGAAGCATTCTCAGAAACTACTTTGAGATGTGTGCATTCAACTCACAGAGTTGAACATCCCTTTTGACAGAGCAGTTTTGAAATACTCTTTTTGTAGAATTTGCAAGTGGACATTTGGAGATCTTCAAGGCCTGTGGTGGAAAAGGAAATATCTTCACATAGAAACTAGACAGAAGCATTCTCAGAAACTTCTTTAGGATGTGTGCATTCAACTCATATAGTTGAACCTTTCTTCTGATAGAGCAGTTTTGAAAAACTCTTTTGTAGAATTTTTAAGTGGACATTTGGAACTCTCTGAAGCCTGTGGTGGAAAAGGAGATATCTTCACATAGAAATTAGAGAGAAGCATTCTCAGAAACTAATTTGTGATGTGTGCATTAAACTGACAGAGTTGAACCTTCCTTTTGAAAGAGCAGTTTGGAAACACTCTTTTTGTAGAATCTGCAAGTCGATATTTGAACCGCTTTGAGACCTATGGTAGAAAAGGAAATATAAAAACTAGACAGAAGCATTCCCAGAAACTACTTTGTGATGTGCGCATTCAACTCTCAGAGTTGAACATTCCTTTTCATAGAGCAGTTTTGACACACTCTTTTTGGAGAATCTGCAAGTGGATATTTCAATGGCTTTGAGGCCTTCGTTGGTAATGGGAATAGCTTCCCATAAAAAGTAGACGGAAACATTCTCAGAAACTTTTCAGTGATGTGTGCATTCAACTCATAGAGTTGAACATTCCTTTTGAAAGAGCAGTTTTGAAACCCTCTTTTTGCAGAGTTTGCAAGTGGATATTTGGAGCTCTTTGAGGCCTGTGGTGGAAAAGGAAATATCATCACATACAAACTAGACAGAAGCATTCTCAGAGACTTTTGTGATGAGTACATTCAACTCAAAGAGTTGAACCATTCTATTGATAGAGCAATTTTGATACACTAATTTGTAGAATTTGAAAGTGGACATTTGGAGCTCTTTGTGGCCTGTGGTGGATAAGGAAATATCTTCACAAAGAAACTAGAGAGAAGGATTCTCAGAAACTTCTTTGTGATGTGTGCATTAAACTTACAGAGTTGAACCTTCCTTTGGATAGAGCAGCTTTGAAATACTCTTTTTGTAGAAACTGCATGTGGATATTTGCACTGAGTTGAGGCCTTCATTGGAAACCGGAATAGCTTCACATAAAAAGAAGACAGAAGCATTCTCAGAAACTTCTTTGTGATGTGCGCATTCAACTCACAGAGTGGAACCTTTCTTTTGATAGAGCAGTTTTGAAACACTCGTTTTGTAGAATCTGCAAGTGGACATTTGGAGCGCTTTCAGGCCTGTGGTGGAAAAGGAAATATCTTCACATAGAAAATAGGGAGAAGAATACTCAGAAACATCTTTGTGATGTGTGCATTAAAATCACAGAGTTGAACATCCCTTTTGATAGAGCAGTTTTGACACACTCTTTTTGTACAATTTGCAAGTGGATATTTGGAGCTCTTTGAGGATTGTGGTGGAAAAGGAAATATCTTCACATAGAAACTAGAGGGAAGCATTCTCAGAAACTACTTTGTGAAGCGTGCATTCAACTCACAGAATTGAACGTTTGTTTTGAAAATGCAGTTTTGAAACACTCTTTTTGTAGAATCTGCAAGTGGATATTTGTACGGCTTAGAGGCCTTCGTTGGAAACGGGATATCTTCATATAAAAACTACAGAGAAGAATTCTCAGAAACTAATTTGTGATGTGTGAATTCAATTCACAGAGTTGAACTTTCCTTATCATAGAGCGGTTTTGAAACACTCTTTGTAGGATCTGCAAGTGGATATTTTTATTGCTTTGAGGCCTTCGTTGGAAACGGGAATAGCTGCACATAAAAAGTAGACAGAAGCATTCTCAGAAACTTCTTTGTGAAGTGTGCATTCAACTAACAGAGTTGAACATTCTTTTTGATAGAGCAGTTTTAAAACACTCTTTTTGTAGAATCTGCAAGTGGAGATTTGGACAGCTTTGAGGGCTATGGTAGAAAAGGAAATATCTTCATATAAAAACTAGACAGAAGCATTCTCAGAAACTACTTTGTGATGTGTGCATTCAACTCACAGAGTTGAACATTCCTTTTGATAGAGCAGTTTTGAAACACTCTTTTTGTAGTATCTGTAACTGGATATTTGTACCTCTTTGAGGCCTTCGTTGGAAACTGGTTTAGCTTCACATAAAAAGTAGACAGAAGCATTCTCAGAAACTTCTTTGTGATGTGTGCACTCAACTCACAGAGTAGAACCTTCCTTTTGATAGAGCAGTTTTGAAACACTCTTTTTGTAGAATTTGCAAGTGGACATTTGGAACTCTTTGAGGCCTGTGGTGGAAAGGGAAATATCTTCACATAGAAACTAGACAGAAGCATTTTCAGAAAGTTTTGTGATGTGTACATTCAACTCACAGAGTTGAACCTTTCTATTGATAGAGCAGTTTTGAAACACTATTTTTGTAGAAATTGAAAGTGGATATTTGGAGCTCTTTGAGGCCTGTGGTGGAAAAGGAAATATCTTCACGTAGAAACTAGAGAAGGATTCTCAGAAACTTCTTTGTGATGTGTGCATTAAACTTACAGAGTTGAACCTTCCCTTTGATAGAGCAGTTTTGAAACACTCCTTTTGTAGAAACTGCGTGTGGATATTTGCACCCAGTTGAGGCCTTCATTGGAAACCAGAATAGCTTCACATAAAAAGGAGACAGAAACATTCTCAGACACTTCTTTGTGATGTGTGCATTCAACTCACAGAGTGGAACCTTTCTTTTGATAGAGTAGTTTTAAAACACTCGTTTTGTAGCATCTGGAAGTGGACATTTGAGCGTTTTCAGGCTTGTGGCGGAAAAGGAAATTTCTTCCCATAGAAACTAGGGAGAAGAATTCTCAGAAACTTCTTTGTGATGTGTGCATTGAACTCACAGAGTTGAACATCCCTTTTGATGGGGCAGTTTTGAAACACTCTTTTTGTACAATTTGCAAGTGGATATTTGGAGCTCTTTGAGGACTGTGGTGGAAAAGGAAATATCTTCACATAGAAACTCGAGATAAGCATTCTCAAAAACTTCTTTGTGATGTGTGCATTCAACTCACAGAATTGAACCTTCGTTTTGATAGTGAAGTTTTGAAACACTCTTTTTGTAGAATCTGCAAGTGGATATTTGGACCGCTTTGTGGCCTGCAGTAGAAAAGGAGATATCTTCATATAAATACTATACAGAAGCATTCTCAGAAACTAATTTGTGATGTGTGAATTCAACTCACAGAGTTGAACTTTCCTTATGACAGAGAAGTTTTGAAATACTCTTTTTGTAGAATCTGCAAGTGGAGAATTGGAGCGCTTTCAGGCCTGTGGAGGAAAAGGAAATATCTTCGCATAGAAACTAGACAGAAGCACTCTCAGAAACTTCTTTGTGATGTGTACATTCAACTAACAGGGTTGAACGCCCCTTTTGATAGAACAGTTTTGAAACACTCTTTTTGTAGAATCCGCAAGTGGATATTTGGAGCGCTTTGAGGCCTTCATTGGAAACGGAATAGCTTCAAAGAAAAAGTAGACAGAAGCATTCTCAGAAACTTCTTTGTGATGTGTGCATTCAACTAACAGAGTTGAACCTTCCCTTTGATAGAGCAGTTTTGAAACACTCTTTTTGAAGAATCTGCAAGTGGATATTTGGAGTGCTTGGAAGCCTATGGTAGAAAAGTTAATATCTTCATATAAAAACTAGACAGAAGCGTTCTCTGAGACTTCTTTGTGATGTGTACATTCAGCTCACAGAGTTGAACATCCCTTTTGATGGAGTCTTTTGGAAACACGCTTTTTGTAGAATCTGCAAGTGGATATTTTGACAGCTTTGAGGCCTTCGGTGGAAATGGGAATATCTTCATATAAAAACTAGGCAAAGGCATTTTCAAAAACTTCTCTGTGATGTGTGCATTCATGTCACAGAATTGAACCTTCCTTTTGAAAGAGCAGTCTTGAAACACTCTTTTTGTAGAATCTGCAAGTGAATATTTGGACCGCTTTGAGGGCTACGGTAGAAAAGGAAATATCTTCATATAAAAACTAGACAGAAGCGTTGTCAGAAACTGCTTTGTGGTGTGTGCATTCAACTCAGAGAGTTGAAGATTCCTTTTCATAGAGAAGTTTTGAAACACTCTTTTTGTAGAATATGCAACTGGATATTTCTACCGCTTTGAGGCTTTCATTGGAAACGGGTTTAGCTTCACATAAAAAGTAGACAAAAGCATTCTCAGAATCTTCTTTGTGATGTATACATTCAACACACAGAGTTTAACATTCCTTTTGACAGAGTAGTTTTGAAACACTCTTTTTGTAGAATCTACAAGTGGGTATTTGGAGTCCTTGTGGCTTGTGGTGGAAAAGGAAATATCTTCACATAAAAACTAGACAGAGGCATTCTCAAAAACTTCTTTGTGATTTGTGCATTCAATTCTCAGAGTTGAACATTCATTTTGACAGAACAGTTTTGAAACACTCATTTTGTAGGATCTGCCAGTGGACATTTGGAGCGCTTTGAGGCCTTTGGTGGAAAAGGAAATATCTTCACATAGAAACTAGACAGAAGCATTCTCAGAAAGTTCTTTGTGATGTGTGCATTCAACTCACAGAATTGAACCTTCCTTTTGATAGAGCAGTTTTGAATCACCTTTTTTGTAGAATTTGCAAGTGGACATTTGGACCTCTTTGAGGACTGTGGTGTAAAACGGTATATCTTCACATAGAAACTAGAGAGAAGAATTCTCAGAAACTTGTTTATGATGGGTGCATTCAGCTCACTGAAATGAACCTTCGTTTTGAAAGTGCAGTTTTGAAACACTGTTTTGTAGAATCTGCAAGTGGATATTTGCACCACATTGAGGCATAGAGTAGAAAAGGATATATCTTTATATAAAAATTAGACAGAAGGATTCTCAGAAGGTACTTTGTGATGTGTGCATTCAACTCACAGAGTTGAACTTTCCTTTTGATAGAGTAGTTTTGAAACACTCTTTTTGAAGGATCTGCAAGTGGATATTTGCAGTGCTTTGAGGCCTTCATTGGAAACGGGATTAGCTTCACATAAAAAGTATACACAAGCATTCTCATAAACTTCTTTGTGATGTGTGTATTCAGCTAACAGACTTGAACCTTCCTTTTGATAGGGCAGTTTTGCAACACTCTTTTTGAAGAATCTCCAAGTGGATATTTGGATTGCTTTGAGGCCTATAGTAGAAAAGGAAATATCTTCATATAAAAACTAGAGAGAAGGATTCTCAGAGACTTCTTTGTGATGTGTACATTCAACTCACAGAGTTGATCATCCCTTTTGATAGAGTCTTTTGAAACACTCTTTTTGCAGAATCTGCAAGTGGATATTTGGAGCGCTTTGAGGCTTCGTAGGAAACAGGAATAGCTTCACATAAAAAGTAGACAGAAGCATTCTCGGAAACTTATGTGTGCATTCAACTCCCAGTGTTGAACATTACTTTTAACAGAGCAGTTTTGAAATACTCTTTTTGCAGAATCTGCAAGTGTACATTTGGAACGCTTTGAGGCCTGTATGGAAAAGGAAATATCTTCACATAGAAAATAGACAGAAGAATTCTCAGTAACTACTTTGTGATGTGTGTATTCAACTCACAGAGTTGAACCTTCCTTTCGATAGAGCAGTTTTGAAACACTCTATTTGTAGAATTTGCAAGTGGACATTTGGAGCTTTTTGAGGCCTGTGGTGGAAAAGGAAATATCTTCACATAGAAACTGGACAGAAGCACTCTCAGAAACTTCTTTGTGATGTGTGCATTCAACTCACAGATTTGAACCTTTCGTCTGACAGCAGTTTTGAAACCCTCTTTTTATAGAATTTGTAAGTCGACATTTGGACCGCTTTGAGGCCTACAGTAGAAAAGGAAATAACTTAATTAAAAACTAGGCAGAACCATTCCCAGAAACTACTTTGTGATGTGTGCTTTCAACTCACAGAGTTGAACATTCCTTTTTCATAGAGCAGTTTTGACACACTCTTTTTGTAAAATCTGCAAGTGGACACTTGTTCTGCTTTGAGGCCTTCGTTGGAAACGGGAATAGCTTCACATAAAAAATAGGCAGAAGCATTCTCACAAACTTTTCTGTGATGTGTGCATTCAACTCACAGAGTTGAACATTTCTTTTGACAGAGCAGTTTTGAAACACTTTTTTTGTGGAATCTACAAGTGGACATTAAGAGTGCTATGAGGACTGTGGTGGAAAAGGAAATATCTTCACATAGAAACTAGACAGAAGCATTCTCAGAAACTTCTTTGTGATGTGTGCATTCAAATCACAGAGTGGAATCTTCCTGTTGATAGAACAGTTATGAATCCCTCTTTTTGTAGAATTTGCAAGTGGACATTTGCAGCTCTTTGAGGAGTGTGGTGGAAAAGGATATGTCTTCACATAGAAACTAGAGATGCATTCTCAGAAACTTCTTTGTGATGTGTGCTTCAACTCACAGAATTGAAACTTCGTTTTGAAAGTGCAGTTCTGAAACACTCTTTTTGTAGAATCTGCAGGTGGATATTTGGATTGCTTTGAGGCCTACAGTAGAAAAGGAAATATCTTCATATAAAAACTAGACAGAAGCATTTTCAGAAACTACTTTGTGATGTGTGCATTCAACTCACAGAGTTGAACCTTGCTTTTGATTAAGCAGTTTTGAAACACTCTTTTGGGAGAATTTGCAAGTGGACATTTGGAGCGCTTTGAGGCCTGTGGTGGAAAAGGAAATATCTTCATATAGAAACCAGAGAGAACCATTCTCCAAAACTTCTTTGTTGGTGTGTGCTTTCAATTTACAGAGTTGAACCGTCCTTTTCCTAGAGCTGTTTTGAAACACTCTTTTGGTAGAGTCTGCAAGTGGATATTTGGAGGACTTTGAGTCCTATGGTAGAAAAGGATATATCTTCATATAAAAACTGGAGTGAGGCATTCTTAGAAACTACTTTCTGATATGTGCATTCAACTCACAGAGTTGAACATTCCTGTTGATAGAGCAGTTTTGAAACACTTTTTTTAGAAACTGAAAGTGGATATTTGGACCGAACTGAGGGCTATGGTAGAAAAGGAATTATCTTCATATAAAAGCTAGACAGAAGCATTCTCAAAAACTTCTTTGTGATGCGTGCATTCCACTCACAGAGTTGAACATTCCTTTTCACAGAGAAGTTTTGAAACACTCTTTTTGTAGAATCTGCAAGTGGACTTTTGGGGTGCTTTGAGGCTTGTGGTGGAATAGGAAATATATTCACATAAAAACTAGACAGAAGCATTCTCAAAAACTTCTTTGTGATGTGTGCATTCCACTCACAGAGTTGAACATTCCTTTTCACAGAGAAGTTTTGAAACACTCTTTTTGTAGAATCTGCAATTGGACATTTGGAGCGCTTTGACGCCTGTGGTGGAAAAGGAAATATCTTCACAAAGAAACTAGACAGAAGCATTCTCAGAAACTTCTTTGTGATGTGTGCATTCAACTCACAGAGTTGAACCTTCCTTTTGATAGAACATTTTTGAAATACGCTTTTTGTAGAATCTGCAAGTATATATTATGACGGATTTGAGGCCTTCGGTGTAAATGGTAATATCTTCATATAAAAACTACACAAAAGCATTCTCAAAAACTACTTTGTGATGTGTGCATTTAACTCACCGAATTGAATCTTCCTTTTGAAAGAGCAGTATTGAAACACTCTTTTTGTAGAATCTGCAAGGGCATATTTGGACCGCTTTGAGGCCTATGGTAGAAAAGAAAGTATCTTCAAATAAAAACTAGACAGAAGCATTCTGAGAAACTACATTGTGATGTGTGCATTCAACTCACATAGTTGAACATTCCTTTCCATAGAGCTGTTTTGAAACACTCTTTTTGTAGAATCTGCAAGTGGATATTTGAATGCTTGGAGGTCTTCGTTGGAAACGGGAATAGCTTCACATAAAAAGTAGAGAGAAGCATTCTCAGAAACTTCTTTGTGACGTGTGCGTTCAACTAACAGATTTGAACCTTCCTTTTGATAGAGCAGTTTTGAAAAACTGTTTTTGAAGAATCTGCAAGAGGATATTTGGAGTGCTTTGAGGCCTTAGTTGGAAAGGGGAATAGCATCACATACAAAGTAGACAGAAGCATTCTCAGAAACTTCTTTGTGATGTGTGCATTCAACTAATAGAGTTGAAAGTTCCTTTTGATAGAGCAGTTTTGAAAAACTCTTTTTGAAAATCTGCAAGTGGATATTTGGAGTGCTTTGAGGCCCATGGTAGAAAAGGAAATATCTTCATATAAAAACCAGACAGAATCTTTCTCAGAGACCTCTTTGTGATGTGTGCATTCAACTCACAGAATAGAACATTCCTTTCCATAGAGCCATTTTGAAACACTCTTTTTGACGAATCTGCAAGTGGATACTTGGAGCACTTTGAGGCCTTCGTTGGAAATGGGAATAGCTTCACATAAAAAGTAGACAGAAGCATTGGGAGAAACTTCTCTGTGATGTGCGCTTTACTCACTGAGTTGAACATTCCTTTTGACAGAGCAGTTTTGAAACACTCTTTTTGTGGAATCTGCAACTGGACATTTGGAGCACTTTGAGGCCTGTGTGGAAAAGGAAATATCTTCACAAAGAAACTAGACAGAAGCATTCTCAGAAACTTCTTTGTGATGTGTGCATTCAACTAACAGAATTGAACCTTCCTTTTGATAGAACAGATTTGAAATATGCTTTTTGTAGAATCTGCAAGTGGATATTTGGAATGCTTGGAGGCTTCGTTGGGAAACGGGAAAAGCTTCACATAAAAAGTATACGGAAGCATTCTCACAAACTTCTTTGTGATGTGTGCATTCAACTCACAGAGGTGAAACTTTCTTTTGATAGAGCAGTTTTGAAACGCTCTTTTTGTAAAATCTGCAAGTGGACATTTGGAACTCTTTGAGGCCTGTGGTGGAAAAGGAAATATCTTCACATAGAAACTAGACAGAAGCATTCTCAGAAACTTCTTTGTGATGTGTGCATTCAACTCACAGAGTTGAACCTTTCTTTTAATAGAGCAGTTTGGAAACACTCTTTTTGTAGGAACTGCATGTGGATATTTGGACAGATTAGAGGCCTTCGTTGGAAAAGGATATAGCTTCACATAAAAAGTAGACAGAAGAATTCTCAGAAACCTCTTTGTGATGTGTGGATTCAACTCACAGAATTGAATCTTCATTTTGAAAGTGCAGTTTTGAAACACCCTTTTTGTAGAATCTGCAAGTGGATATTTGGACTGTTTTGAAGCCTACAGTAGAAAAGGGAATATCTTCATATAAAAACTAGACAGAAGCATTCTCAGAAGCTACTTTGTGATTTGTGCATTCAACTAATAGCGTTGAACCTTCCTTTTGATAAAGCAGTTTTGAAACACTCTTTTTGAAGAATCTTCAAGTGGATATTTGGAATTCTTGGAGGCCTTCTTTGGAAACGGGAATAACATCACAAAAAAAGGTAGTCAGAAGCATTCTTAGAAACTTTTTTGTGATGTGTGCATTCAGCCAACAAAGTTGAACCTTCCTTTTGATAGAGCAGTTTTGAAACACTCTTTTTGAAAACTGCAAGTGGATATTTGGAGTGCTTTGAGTCCCATGGTAGAAAAGGAACTATCTTCATATAAATACCAGACAGATGCTTTCTCAGAGACTTCTTTGTGATGTGTGCGTTCAACTCACAGAGTTCAACATCCCTTTTGATAGAGCCCTTTTGAAACACTCTTTTTGTAGAATCTGCAAGTGTACATTTGGAGCACTTTCAGGCCTGTGTGGAAAAGGAAATATCTTCACCTAGAAACTAGACAGAAGCATTCTCAGAACCTTCTTTGTGATGTGTGCACTCAACTAACAGAGTTGAACCTTCCTTTTGATAGATCAGTTTTGAAACACGCTTTTTGTAGATTCTGCAAGTGGATATTTTGATGGCTTTGAGGCCTTTGGTGTAAATGGGAATGTCTTCACATAAAAAGTAGACAAAAGCATTCTCAAAAACATGTTTTTGATGTGTGCATTCATCTCACAGAATTGGACCTTCGTTTTGATAGAACAATTTTGAAACACTCTTTTTGTAGAATCTGCAAGTGGATATTTGTACCGTTTTGAGGCGTATGGTAGAAAAGGAAATATCTTTTTTTTTTTTTTTTTTTTGAGACGGAGTCTCGCTCTGTCGCCCAGGCTGGAGTGCAGTGGCGGGATCTCGGCTCACTGCAAGCTCCGCCTCCCGGGTTCACGCGGAAATATCTTCATTTAAAAACTAGACTGAAGCATTCCCAGAAACTACCTTGTAATGTGTGCATTCCACTCACAGAGTTGATCATTGCTTTTCATAGAGCAGTTTTGACACACTCTTTTTGCAGAATCTGCAAGTGGATATTTTTACCGCTTTGAGGCCTTTGTTGGGAACGGGAATAGCTTCACCTAAAAAGCAGACAGAAGCATTCTCAGAAGCTTCCCTGTGATGTATGCATTCAACTCACAGAGTTGAGCATTCCTTTTGACAGAGCTGTTTTGAAACACTCCTTTTGTAGAATCTGCAAGTGGACATTTGGAGCACTCTGAAAGTTGTCATGGAAAAGGAAGTATCTCCACGTAGAAACTAGACAGAACCATTCTAAAACTTCTTTGCGATGTGTGCATTCAACTAACAGAGTTGAACCTTCCTTTTGATAGAGCAGTTTTGAAACACTCTTTTTGTAGAATTTCAAGTGGACATTTTGAGCTCTTTGAGGACTGTTGTGGAAAATGAAATATCTTCACATAGAAACTAGACAGAAGCATTCTCAGAAACTTCTTTGTGTTGTGTACATTCAACTCACAGAGTTGAACCTTCCTCTTGATAGAGCAGTTTTCAAATACTATTTTGGTAGAATCTACAAGTGCATATTTGGAACGCTTTGAGGTCTAATGGTAGAAAAGGAAATATTTTCATATAAAACTCGACAGAAGCATTCTCAGAAACTGCTTTGTGATGTGTGCATTCAACTCAAAAAGTTGAACTTTTCTTTTGATAGAGAAGTTTTGAAACACTCTTTTTGTAGTATCTGCAAGTGGACATTTGGAATGCTTTCAGGCCTGTGGTGGAAAAGGAAATATCTTCACTTAGAAACGAGACAGAAGCATTCTCAGAAACTTCTTTGTGATGTGTACATTCAACTCACACTGTGGAACATCCCTTTTGATAGAGCAGTTTTGAAACACTCTTTTTGTAGAATCTGCTAGTGGATATTTGGAGTGCTTTGAGGCCTTTGGTGGAAAAGTAAATATCTTCACATAGAAAGTAGACAGAAGCATTCTCAGAAACTCCTTTGCGATGTGTGCATTCAACTCACAAAGTTGAACATTCCTTTTGATAGAGCAGTTTTGAAACACTCTTTTTGTAGAGTCTGCAAGTGGACATTTGTAGTGCTTTGAGATCTGTGGTGTAAAAGGAAATATCTTCACATAGAAACTAGACAGAAGCATTCTCAGGAAGTCCTTTGTGATGTGTGCATTCAACTCACAGAGTTGAACCTTCCTTTTGATTGAGCAGTTTTGAAACACGCGTTTTGAAGAATCTGCAAGTGGATATTTTGTCATCTTTGAGGGCTTCAATGGAAATGGGAATATCTTCACATATAAACTAGACAGAAGCATTCTCAAAAACTTCTTTGTGATGTGTACACTCAACTCAAAGAATTGAATCTTCGTTTTGAAAGAGTAGTTTTGAAACACTCTTTTTGTAGAATCTGCAATCTGATATTTGGACTGCTTTGAGGCCTATGGTAAAGTAATTATCTTCATATAAAAACTAGACTGATTGTCCCTGTTTGCAGACGACATGATTGTATATTTAGAAAACCCCAATGTCTCAGCCCAAAATCTCCTTAAGCTCATAAGCAACTTCAGCAAAGTCTCAGGATACAAAATCAATGTACAAAAATCAGAAGCATTCTTATACGCCAACAACAGACAAACACAGAGCCAAATCATGGGTGAACTCCCATTCACAATTGCTTCAAAGGGAATAAAATACCTAGGAATCCAACTTACAAGAGATGTGAAGGACCTCTTCAAGGAGAACTACAAACCACTGCTCAAGGAAATAAAAGAGGATACAAACAAATGGAAGAACATGCTATGCTCATGGGTAGGAAGAATCAATATCGTGAAAATGGCCATACTGCCCAAGGTAATTTACAGATTCAATGCCATCTCCATCAAGCTACCAATGCCTTTCTTCACAGAATTGGAAAAAACTACTTTAAAGTTCATATGGAACCAAAAAAGAGCCCGCATCACCAAGTCAATTCTAAGCCAAAAGAACAAAGCTGGAGTCATCACGCTACCTGACCTCAAACTATGCTACAAGGCTACAGTAACCAAAACAGCATGGTACTGGTACAAAAACAGAGATATAGATCAATGGAACAGAACAGAGCCCTCAGAAATAATGCCACATATCTACAACCATCTGATCTTTGACAAGCCTGACAAAAACAAGCAATGGGGAAATGATTCCCTATTTAATAAATGGTGCTGGGAAAAATGGCTAGCCATATGTAGAAAGCTGAAATTGGATCCCTTCCTTACACCTTATACAAAAATCAATTCAGGATGGATTAAAGACTTAGACGTTAGACCTAAAACCATAAAAACCCTAGAAGAAAACCTAGGCATTACCATTCAGGACATAGGCATAGGCAAGGACTTCATATCTAAAAAACCAAAAGCAATGGCAACAAAAGCCAACATTGACAAATGGGATCTAATTAAACTAAAGAGCTTCTGCACAGCAAAAGAAACTACCATCAGAGTGAACAGGCAACCTACAGAATGGGAGAAAATTTTAGCCACCTGCTCATCTGATGAAGGGCTAATATCCAGAATCTACAACGAACTCAAACAAATTTACAGGAAAAAAACAAAGAACCCCATCAAAAAGTGGGTGAAGGACATGAACAGACACTTCTCAAAAGAAGACATTTATGCAGCCAAAAAACACATGAAAAAATGCTCACCATACCTGACCATCAGAGAAATGCAAATCAAAACCACAATGAGATACCATCTCACACCAGTTAGAATGGCAATCATTAAAAAGTCAGGAAACAACAGGTGCTGGAGAGGATGTGGAGAAATAGGAACATTTTTACACTGTTGGTGGGACTGTAAACTAGTTCAACCATTGTGGAAGTCAGTGTGGCGATTCCTCAGGGATCTGGAACTAGAAATACCATTTGACCCAGCCATCCCATTACTGGGTATATACCCAAAGGACTATAAATCATGCTGCTATAAAGACACATGCACAAGTATCTTTATTGCGGCATTATTCACAATAGCAAAGACTTGGAACCAACCCAAATGTCCAATAAAGATAGACTGGATTAAGAAAATGTGGCACATATACACCATGGAATACTATGCAGCCATAAAAAATGATGAGTTCATGTCTTTTGTAGGGACACAGATGAAATTGGAAATCATCATTCTCAGTAAACTATCGCAAGAACAAAAAACCAAACACCACTTATTCTCACTCGTAGGTGGGAATTGAACAATGAGAACACACGGACAGAGGAAGGGGAACATCACACTCTGGGGACTGTTGTGGGGTGGGGGGACGGGGGAGGGATAGCATTGGGAGATATACCTAATGCTAGATGACGAGTTAGTGGGTGCAGAGCACCAGCATGGAACGTGTATACATATATAACTAACCTGCACATTGTGCACATGTACCCTAAAATTTAAAGTATATATAATAATAATAATAATAAAGAAAAAAAAATCTAGACAGAAGCATTCTCAGAAACTACTTTGTGATGTGTGAATTCAACTCACAGATTTGAACCTCCCTTTTGATAGAGCAGTTTTGAGACACTCTTTTTGAAGAATCTGCAAGGGGATACTTGGAGTGCTTTGAAGCCTATGTTAGAAAAGGAAATATCTTCATATAACAACTAGACAGAAGCATTCTCAGAAACGACTTTGGATGTTTGCATTAAACTCACAGAATTGAACCTTCCATTTGATAGAGCAGTTTTGAAACACTCTTTTGAAGAATCTGCAAGGGGATATTTGGAGTGCTTTGAGGCCTATGTTAGAAAAGGAAATATCTTCATATAAAAATTAGACAGAAGCATTCTGAGAAATGACATTGGACGTTTGCATTCAACTCACAGAGTTGAACATTCTTTTTGATAGAGCAGTTTTGAAACACTCTTATTGTAGAATCTGAAAGTGGATATTTGGAGCGCTTTGAGGCCTACGGTGGAAATGGGAATTGCTTCACAGAAAAACTAGACAGAAGCATTCTCAGAAACTTCTTTGTGATGTGTGCATTCATCTCACAGAGTTGAACCTTTCTTTTGATAGAGCAGTTTTGAAACACTATTTTGTAGAATTTGGAACTGGACATTTTGAGCACTTTGAAGCCTGTGGTGGAAAAGGAAATATCTTCACATAGAAACTAGAGAGAAGGACTCTCAGAAATATCTTTGTAATGTGTGCATTCAACTTACATAGTTGACCCTTCCTTTTGATAGAGCTGTTTTGGAACACTCTTTTGGTAGAATCTACATGTGGGTATTTGGAGCGCTTTGATTCCTATGGTAGAAAAGGAAATATCTTCATTTAAAAACTAGACAGAAACATTCTTAGAAACTACTTTGTGATGTGTTCATGCAACTCACAGAGTTCAACATTACTTTAGATAGAGCAGTTTTGAAACACACTTTTTGTAGAAACTGGAAGTGAACATTTGGACCGATTTTAGGCCTTCATTGGAAACGGGAGTAGCTTCACATAAAAACGGGACAGAAGCATTCTCAGAAACTTCTTTGTGATGTCTGTATTCAACTCACAGAGTTGAACCTTCCTTTCGATAGAGCAGTTTTGAAACACTGCTTTTGTAGAATCTGCAAGTGGACATTTGGAGCTGTTTGAGGCCTGTGGTGGAAAAGGAAATATATTCACATAGAAACTAGAGAGAGCCATTCTCAGAAACTTCTTTGTGATGTGTGCATTAAACTTATAGAGTTGAACCTTGCTTTTGATAGAGCAGTTTTGAAACACTTTTTGTAGAAACTACAAGTGAATATTTGGACCAATTTGAGGACTTACTTCAAAACGGGAATAGCCTCACATAAAAAGGAGACAGAAGCATTCTCAGAAACTTCTTTGTGATGTGTGCATTCAACTCACAGAGTTGAAGCTTTCTTTCGATAGAGCAGTTTTGAAACACTCTTCTTGTAGAATCTGCAAGTGAACATTTGGAGGGCATTCAGGCCTGTGGTGGAAAAGGAAATATCTTCACATAGAAACTAGACAGAAGCATTCTCAAAAATTTCTTTTTGATGTGTACATTCAACTCACAGAGTTGAACATCCCTCTTGATAGAGCAGTTTTGAAACACTCTTTTTGTAGAATACACAAGTGGATCTTTGGAGCGCTTTCTGGCCTACAGCAGAAATGGAAACATCTTCATATAAGAACTAGACAGTAGCATTCTCAGAAACTTCTTTGTGATGTGTGCATTTAACTAACAGAGTGCAACTTTCTTTTGATAGAGCAGTTTTGAAACACACTTTTTGTAGTATCTGCAAGTGGATATTTGGACCGCTTTCAGGCCTTCATTGGAAACGGGAATAGTTTCACATAAAAAGTAGACAAAAGCATTCTCAGAAAGTTCTCTGTGATGTGTGCCTTCAACTCACAGAGATGAAAAGTCCTTTTGATAGAGAAGTTTTGAAACACTCTTTTTGTAGAATCTGCAAGTGGATATTTGGAGCGCTTTGAAGCCTTCGGTAAAAAAGGAAGAATCTTCATATAAAAACCGACAGAAGCATTCACAGAAACTACTTTGTGATGTTTGCATTCAACTCCCAGAATTGAACATTTCTTTTGATAGAGTAGTTTTGAAACTCCCTTTACTTAGAATCTGCAAGTGGATATTTGTAGCGCTTTGAGGACTACGGTGGAAACAGGAACATCTTCACGTAAAAACAAGACAGAAGCATTCTCAGAAACTTCTTTCTGATGTGTGCATTCAAAAAACAGAGTTGAAACTTCGTTTTGATAGAGCTGTTTTGAAACACTCTTTTTGTAGAATCTGCAAGTGGATATTTGGAGCGCTTTGAGTGCTATGGTAGAGAAGCAAGAATCTTCTTATAAAAACCAGACAGAAGCATCCACAGAAACTACTTTGTGATGTTTGCAATCAACTCACAGAGTTGAACTTTTCTTTTGATAGAGCAGTTTTGAAACACTCCTCTTGCAGAATCTGCAAGGGGATATTTGGATCGCTTTGAGGACTTCGTTTGCAAGGGGAATATCTTCACATAAAAAGTAGACAGAAGCATTCTCAGAACCTTCCTTTTGACGTGTGCATTCAACTCACAGAGTTGAACCTTTCTTATGATAGAGCAGTTTTGAAACACTCTTTTTGTAGAATCTGCAAGTGGACATTTGGAGCACTTTGAGGCCTTTGGTGGAAAAGTAAATATCTTCACATAGAAAGTAGACAGAAGCATTCTCAGAAACTCCTTTGTGATGTGTGCTTTTAACTCACAAATTTGAACTTTCCTTTTTTTAAAAATTTTTTTAATTTTTTTTATTATACTTTAAGTTTTAGGGTACATGTGCACATTGTGCAGGTTAGTTACATATGTATACATGTGCCATGCTGGTGCGCTGCACCCACTAACTCGTCATCTAGCATTTCCTTTTGATAGAGCAGTTTTGATACACTCTTTTTGTAGAATCTGCCAGTGGATATTTGGAGCGATTTGAAGCCTATGGTAGTAAAGGAAGTATCTTCATATAAAAACTAGA
The DNA here is from genome assembly GCF_000001405.40 of Homo sapiens. Taxonomy (NCBI): domain Eukaryota; kingdom Metazoa; phylum Chordata; class Mammalia; order Primates; family Hominidae; genus Homo; species Homo sapiens. The sequence continues at coordinate 26,697,305 of NC_000017.11, forward strand.
AAGAAGCATTCCCAGAAACTACTTTGAGATGTTTGCATTCAAATCACGATGTTGAACATTCCTTTTAATAGAGCAGTTTTGAAATACACATTTGTAGAGTCTGCAAGTGGATATTTGGAGCGCTTTGAAGCCTTCATTGGAAACAGGAGAATCTTCACATAGAAACTACACAGAGGTATTCTCAGAAACTTATTTGTGATGTGTGCATTCAACTCACAAAGTTGAACAATTCTTTTGATAGAGCAGTTTTGAAACACTCTTTTTTTAGAATCTGCAAGTGGACATTAGGAGAGCTTTGAGGCCTGTGGTGCAAAAGGAAATATCTTCACATAAAAAGTAGACAGAAGCATTCTCTGAAACGACTTTGTGATGTGTGCATTCAACTCACAGAGTTGAACATTTCTTTTGATAGAGCAATTTTGAAACACTCTTTTTGTAGAATCTGCCAGTGGTTATTTGTAGCGCTTTGAGGCCTGTGGTGGAAATGGAAATATCTTCACATAGAAACTAGACAGAAGCATTCTCAGAAACTTATGTGTGATGTGTGCATTCAACTCACAGTGTTGAACTTTTCTTTTGATAGAGCAGTTTTGAAACACTCTTTTTTTAGAATCTGCAAGTAGAAATTATGAGCGCTATGAGGCCCATGGTGGAAACGGGAATATCTTCACATAAAAAGTAGACAGAAGCATTCTCAGAAACTCCTTTGTGATGTGTGCATTCAACTCACACAGTTGAACATTTCTTTTCATAGAGTTGTTTTGAAACACTCTTTTTGTAGAATCTGCAAGTGGACATTTGGTGTGCTTTGAGGCCTGTGGTGTAAAAGAAAATATCTTCACACAGAAACTAGACAGAAGAATTCTCAAAAACTTCATTTTGTTGTGTGCACTCACCTCTCTGAGTTGAACCATCCTTTTTATGGAGCACTTTTGAAACACTCTTTTTCTGTTCTTTTACATTTGCTGAGGAGAGCTTCACTTCCAAGTATATGGTCAATTTTGGAATAGGTGTGGTGTGGTGCTGAAAAAAATGTACATTCTGTTGATTTAGGGGTGGAGAGTTCTGTTGATGTCTATTAGGTCCGCTTGGTGTAGAGCTGAGTTCAATTCCTGGGTATCCTTGTTGACTTTCTGTCTCATTGATCTGTCTAATGTTGACAGTGGGGTGTTAAAATCTCCCATTATTAATGTGTGGGAATCTAAGTCTCTTTGTAGGTCACTCAGGACTTGCTTGATGAATCTGTGTGCTCCTGTATTGGGTGCATATAATTTAGGATAGTTAGC
>NC_000017.11:26698998-26720420 GCF_000001405.40 Homo sapiens
CACACCGATGGGTCTTGACTCTTTATCCAATTTGCCAGTCTATGTCTTTTAATTGGAGCATATAGTCCATTTACATTTAAAGTTAATATTGTTATGTGTGAATTTGATCCCGTCGTTATGATGTTAGCTGGTTCTTTTGCTCGTTAGTTGATGCAGTTTCTTCGTAGACTCGATGGGCTTTACATTTTGGCATGATTTTGATATCGTGAAAATGGCCATACTGCCCAAAGTAATTTACAGATTCAATGCCATCCCCATCAAGCTAAAAATGACTTTCTTCACAGAAATGGAAAAAACTACTTTAAAGTTCATATGGAACCAAAAAAGAGCCCGCATCACCAAGTCAATACTAAGCCAAAAGAACAAAGCTGGAGGCATCACACTACCTGACTTCAAACTATACTACAAGGCTACAGTAACCAAAACAGCATGGCACTGGTACAAAAACAGAGATATAGATCAATGGAATAGAACAGAGCCCTCAGAAATAATGCCGCATATCTACAACCATCTGATCTTTGACAAACCTGAGAAAAACAAGCAATGGGGAAAGGATTCCCTATTTAATAAATGGTGCTGGGAAAAATGGCCAGCCATATGTAGAAAGCTGAAACTGGATCCCTTCCTTACACCTTATACAAAAATTAATTGAAGATGGATTAAAGACTTAAACATTAGCCCTAAAACCATGAAAACCCTAGAAGAAAACCTAGACATTACCATTCAGGACATAGGCATAGGCAAGGACTTCATGTTTAAAACATCAAAAGCAATGGCAACAGAAGCCAACATTGACAAATGGGATCTAATTAAACTAAAGAGCTTCTGCACAGCAAAAGAAACTACCATCAGAGTGAACAGGCCACCTACAGAATGGGAGAAAATTTTTGCAACCTCCTCATCTGACAAAGGACTAATATCCAGAATCTACAATGAACTCAAACAAATTTACAAGAAAAAAACAAAGAACCCCATCAAAAAGTGGGCAAAGGACATGAACAGACACTTCTCAAAAGAAGACATTTATGCAGCCAAAAAACACATGAAAAAATGCTCATCTTCACTGGCCATCAGAGAAACGCAAATCAAAACCACAATGAGATACCATCTCACACCAGTTAGAATGGCGATCATTAAAAAGTCAGGAAACAACAGGTGCTGGAGAGGATGTGGAGAAATAGGAACACTTTTACACAGTTGGTGGGACTGTAAACTAGTTCAACCATTGTGGAAGTCGGTGTGGCGATTCCTCAGGGATCTAGAACTAGAAATACCGTTTGACCCAGCCATCCCAGTACTGGGTATATACCCAAATGAGTATAAATCATGATGCTATAAAGACACATGCACACGTATGTTTATTGTGGCATTATTCACAATAGCAAAGACTTGGAACCAACCCAAATGTCCAACAATGATAGACTGGATTAAGAAAATGTGGCACATATACACCATGGAATACTATGCAGCCATAAAAAATGATGAGTTTCTGTCCTTTGTAGGGACATGGATGAAACTGGAAATCATAATTCTCAGTAAACTATCTCAAGAACAAAAAACCAAACACTGCATATTCTCACTCATAGGTGGGAATTGAACAATGAGATCACAGGGACACAGGAAGTGGAACATCACACTCTGGGGACTGTGGTGGGGTGGGGGGAGGGGGGAGGGATAGCATTGAGAGATATACCTAATGCTAGATGACGAGTTACTGGGTGCAGCGCACCAGCATGGCACATGTATACATATGTAACTAACCTGCAAAATGTGCACATGTACTCTAAAACTTAAAGTATAATAAAAAAATAAAAATGAAAATATATCTGTTAAGACACACACACACACACACACACACACACACACACACACACACAAAAGAAACATTCTTTTTGTAGAATCTTAAAGTGGACATTTGGAGTGCTTTGAGGCCTATGGTAGAAAAGGAAATATCTTCATATAAAAACTAGACAGAATCATTATCAGAAACTACTTTGGATGTTTGCATTCAACTCACAAATTTGAACATTCCTGTTGACAGAGGAGTTTTGAAACACTCTTTTTTAGAATCTGGAACTAGATATTTGGAGCGCTTTGAGGCCTACGTTGGAAACGGGAATATCTTCACATAAATACTAGACAGAAGCATTCTCAAAAACTTTTTTGTGATGTTTGCATTCAACTCACAGAGCTGAAGCTTCCTTTTGATAGAGCAGTTTTGAAAAACTCTTTCGTTAGGATCTGCAAGTGGAAATTTTGACCGCTTTGAAGTCTATGGTAGAAAAGATATATCTTCATATAAAAAATAGACAGAAGCATTCTCAGAAACTACTTTGCGATGTGCGCATTCAACTCACAGAGTTGAAACTTTCTTTTGATAGAGCAGTTTGGAAACACTCTTTTTGTAGAGTCTGCAAGTGGATATTCGGAGCGCTTTGAGGCCTGTGGTGGAATTGGAAATATCCTCAGATAGAAACTAGAGAGAAGCATTCTCAGAAACTTCTTTGTGACGTGTGCATTCAACTCAGAGTTGAAAATCCCTTTTCATAGAGCAGTTTTGAAACACTCTTTTTGTAGAATCTGCAAATGGATATTTGGACCGATTTGATGCCTTCTGTGGAAACGGGAATTTCTTCACATAAAAGCTAAACAGAAGAATTGTCAGAAATTTCTTTGTGATGAGTGCAATCAACTCACAGAGTTGAAATTTTCTTTTATTAGAGCAGTGTTGAAACACTCTTTTTGTAGAATCTGCAAGCGAATATTCGGAACACTTTGAGGCCTTCAGAGGAAAAGGGAATGTCTTCACATAAAACAAGACAGAAGCATTGTTAGAAAAAACTTTGTGATGTGTGCATTCAACTCACAGAGTTGAACCTTCCTTTTGACAGAGCAATTTTGAAACACTCTTTTTGTAGAATCTGCAAGTGGATATTTGGACCGCTTTGAGGTCTATGGTAGAAATGGAAATATCTTCATATAATAACTAGACAGAAGCATTCTCAGAAACTACGTTGTGATGTGTGCATTCAACTCACAGAGTTGAACATTCCTTTTGATAGAGCAGTTTTGAAACACTCTTTTTGTAGAATCTGATAGTGGATATTTGTACCGCTTTGAGGCCTATGGTAGAAAAGGAAATATCTTCGTAGGAAAACTAGATAGAAGCATTCTCAGAAACTACTTTGTAATGTTATATTCAACTCACAGAGTTGAACATTCCTGTTGATAGAGTAGTTTTGAAACACTCTTTTCAGAGAATCTGCAAGTGGATATTTGGATCGCTTTCAGGCCTTCGTTGGAAACGAGATAAGCTTCACATAAAAAGTAGACAGAAGCATTCTCAGAAACTTCTTTGTGAAGTGTGCATTCAACTCAAAGAGTTGAACTTTTCTTTTGATAGAGCAGTTTTGAAACACTCTTTTTGTAGAATCTGCAAGTGGACATGTGGACCGCTTTGATGCCTGTGGTGGAAAAGGAAATATCTTCACATAGAAACTAGACAGAAGCATTCACCAAAAGTTTTTGTGATGTGTGCATTCAACTCACAGAGTTGAACCTCCCTATTGACAGAGCAGTTTTGAAACACTTTTTTTGTAGTATCTGCAAGTGGATATTTGGACTTGTTTGAGGCCTTTGGTGGAAATGGGAATAATTTCACATAAAAACTAGACAGAAGCATTATCAGAAACTTCGTTGTGATGTGTGCATTCAACTCACAGAATTGAAAAATCCTTTTGAAAGAGAAGTTTTGAAACGGTCTTTTTGTAGAATCTGCCAGTGGATATTTGGACCGTTTTGAGGCCTACGGTAGAAAAGAAAATATCTTCATATAAAAAGTAGACAGAAGCATTCTCAGAAACTACTTTGTTCTGTGTGCATTCAGCTCACAGAGTTGAACATTACTTTTGACAGAGCAGTTTTGAAACAATCTTTTTATAGAAACTGCAAGCGGATATTGGGAGCGATTTGAGGCCTTCGTTGGAAACGGGAATAGTTTCAGATAAAAAGGAGACAGAAGCATTCTCAGAAACTTCCTTGTGATGTGTGCATTCAATTCACGGAGTTGAACCTTTCTTTTGACAGAGCAGTTTTGAAACACACTTTTTTTCTAGAGTCTGCAAGTGGATATTTGGAGTGATTTGAGGCCTATGGTAGAAAAGCAAGAATCTTCTTACAAAAACCAGGCAGAAGCATTCTGAGAAACTGCTTTGTGATGTTTGCATTCAACTCCCAGAGTTGAACATTCCTTTTGATAGAGCAGTTTTGAAACAATCTTTTTGCAGAATCTGCAAGTGGATATTTGGGGTGCATTGATGCCTACGGCGGAAAAGGGAATATCTTCCCATAAAAACTAGACAGAAGCTTTCTCAGAAACTTTGTGATGTGTGCATTCAACTAACAGGGTAAAACCTTCCTTTTGACAAAGCAGTTTTGAAACAATCTTTTTGCAGAATCTGCAAGTGGATATTTGGGGTGCATTGATGCCTACGGCGGAAAAGGGAATATCTTCCCATAAAAACTAGACAGAAGCTTTCTCGGAAACTTTGTGATGTGTGCATTCAACTAACAGGGTAAAACCTTCCTTTTGACAAAGCAGTTTTGAAACACTCTATGTGTTTCAAGTAGATATTTGGAGCGATTTGAGGCCTATGGTAGAAAAGGAGGAATCTTCATATAAAAACTAGACAGAAGCATTCTCAGAAACTGCTTCGTGATGTGTGCATTAAACTCACACAGTTGAACATTCCTTTTGATACAGCAGTTTTGAAACCCTCTTTTTGTGGAATCTGCAAGTGACAGTTTCAAAGATTTGAGTCCTTCGTTGGAAACAGGAATAGCTTCACATAAAAAGTAGAAAGAAGCATCTCAGAAACTTCTTTGTGATGTGTGCATTGAACTCACAGAGTTGAACCTTCCTTTTGATAGAGCACTTTTGAAACACTCTTTTTGTAGAGTCTGCAATTTGATATATGGAGCGCATTGAGGACTATGGTAGGAAAGGAAATTTCTTCATATAAAAATTAGACAGAATCATTCTCAGAAACTACTTGGCGATGTTTGCACTCAACTCACAAAGTTGAACATTCCTTTTGATAGAGCACTTTTGAAACACTCTTTTTGTGGAAAAAGGAAGTGGTTATTTGGAACCCTTTAAGGCATACCGTGGAAACGGGAATATCATCATATAAAAACTACACAGAAGCATTCTCAGAGACTTCTTTGTGATGTGTGCATTCAAATCACAGAATTGAACCTTCCTTTTCATAGAAGAGTTTTGAAACAAACTTTTTGTATAATCTGCTAATGGATATTTGGAGCGCTTTTTGGCCTATGGTAGTAAAGTAAATATCTTTATATAAAAACTAGACAGAAGCATTCTGAGAAAGTCCTTTGTGATGTGTGCATTCAACCCACAGAGATGAACATTCCTTTTGAAAGAGCTGTTTTGAAACACTCTTTTTTTAGAATCTGCTAGTGGATATTTGGGCCGCTTTAAGGCTTTGGTTGGAAAAGGGAATAGCTTCACATAAAAAGGAGACAGAAGCATTCTAGGAAACTTCTTTCTGATGTGTGCATTCAACTCACAGAGTTGAATATTCTTTTTGACAGAGCAGTTTTGAAACACTCTCTTTGTAGAATCTGCAAGTGGACATTTGGAGTGCTCTGAGGCCTGTGGTGGAAAAGGAAATATCTTGACATAGAAACTAGACAGAAGCATTCTCCAAAACTTCTTTGTGATGTGTGCATTCAACTCACAGAGTTGAACCTTCCTTTTGATAGAGCAGTTTTGAAACACTCTTTTTGTAGAATCTGCAAGTGGATATTTGGACTGCTTTGAGGCCTATGGTAGAAAGGAAATATCTTCATATAAAAACTAAAGAGAAGCATTCTCAAGAACTAATGTGTAATGTTTGCATTCAACTCACAGAGTTGAACATTCCTTTTGATAGAATCGTTTTGAAACACTCTTTTTCTAGAATCAGCTAGTGGATATGTGGACCGCCTTGAGGCCTTTGTTGGAAACCAGATTAGCTTCACATAAAAAGTAGACAGAAGCATTCTCAGAAGCTTTTTGTGATGTGTGCGTTCAACTCACAGATTTGAACCTTGCTTTTGATAGAGCAGGTTTGAAACACTCTTTTTGTAGAATCTCCAATGGATATTTGGAGTGCTTTGAGGCCTTCGTTGGAAACGGGGATATCTTCCCTTAGAAACTAGACAGAAACATTCTCAGAAACTTATTTGTGATGTGTGCATTCAACTCACAGAGTTGGACCTTTTTTTGATAGAGCAGTTTTGAAACGCTGTTTATGTAGAATCTGCAGGTGGATATTTAAAGAGCTTTGAGGTATGTGGAGGGTAAGGAAATATCTTCACATAAAAAGCAGACAGAAGCATTCTCAGAAACTCCTTTGTGATGTGTGCATTCAACTCACAGAGTTGAACCTTTCTTTTCATAGAGCAGTTTTGTAACACTCTTTTTTTAGAATCTGCAAGTGGACATTTGGAGGTCTTTGAGGGATTTGGTGGAAAAGGAAATATATTCCCATAGAAACTAGACAACAGCATTGTCAGAAAATTATTTGTGATGTATGGATTCAACTCACAGAATTGAACCTTCCTTTTGATAGAGCAGTTTTCAAACACTCTTTTTGTAGAATCTTAAAGCGGATATTTGGAGCGCTTTGAGGCCTATGGTAGAAAAGGAAATATCTTCATATTAAAACTAGACAGAATCATTCTCAGAAACTACTTTGGATGTTTGCATTCAACTCACAAAGTTGAACATTCCTGTTGATAGAGCAGTTTTGAAACACTTTTTTTTTAGAATCTGGAAGTGGATATTTGGAGCGCTTTGAGGCCTATGATGGAAACGGGAATATCGTCACATAAAAACTAGACAGAAGCATTCTCAAAAACTGTTTTGTGATGTTTGCATTCAACTCAGAGAGTTGAACCTTCCTTTTGATAGAGCATTTTTGAAACAATCTTTTGGTAGAATCTGCAAGTAGATATTTAGAGTGCTTTGAAGTCTATGGTAGAAAAGGATATATCTTCATATATAAACTAGACAGAAGCATTCTCAGAAACTTCTTTGTTATGTGTGCATTCAACTTACAGAGTTGAACATTTCTTTTGATAGAGCACTTTTGAAACACTCTTTTTGTAGAATCTGCAAGTGGATATTTGGAGCACTTTGAGGCCTGTGGTAGAAGTGGAAATATCTTCACATAGAAACTAGTCAGAAGCATTCTCAGAAACTTATTTTTGATGTTCGCATTCAACTCACAGAGTTGAATATCCCTTTTCATAGAGCAGTTTTGAAACACTCTTTTTGTAGAATCTGCAACTGGATATTTGGACAGCTTTGACGCCTCCTGTGGAAACGGGAATATCTTCACATAAAAACTAGACAGAAGAATTGTCAGAAATTTCTTTGTGACTTGTGCAATCAACTCACAGAGTTGAAATTTCCTTTTATTAGAGCAGTGTTGAAACACTCTTTTTGTAGAATCTGCAAGTGAATATTTGGAACACATTGAGGCCTTTGGAGGAAAAGGGAATGTCTTCACATCAAAAGAAGACAGAAGCATTGTCAGAAACAACTCTGTGATGTGTGTATTCAACTCGCAGAGGTGAACCTTCCTTTTGATAGAGCAGTTTTGAAACACTCTTTTTGTAGAATCTGCAAGTGGATATTTGGAGCGCTTTGGGGCCTGTGGTGGAAAAGTAAGAACCTTCATATAAAAGCCAGAGAGAAACAATCTCAGAAACAACTTTGTGATGTCTGCCTTCAACCCCCAGAGTTGAATATTCCTTTTGATAGAGCAGTTTTGAAAAACTCTTTTTGCAGAATCTGCAAGTGGATATTTGGACCGCTTAGAGGTCTTCGTTGGAAACGGGAATATCTTCACAGAAAAAGTAGACAGAATCATTCTCAGAAACTCCTTTGTGATGTGTGCATTTAACTCACAGAGTTAACCCTTTCTTTTGGTAGAACAGTTTTGAAACACTGTTTTTGTAGAATCTTCAAGTGGTCATTTGGCGCACTTTGAGGCCTGTTGCTTAAAAGGAAATATCTTCACATAGAAACTAGAGAGAAGCATTCTCAGAATCTTCATTGTGATGTCTGCACTCAACTCACAGAGATGAACCATCCTTTTGATAGAGCACTTTTGAAACACTCTTTTTGTAGAATCTGCAAGTGGATATTTGGAGGGTTTTGAGGCCTGTGGTGGAAACGGAAATATCTTCAACTAGAAACTATCAAGAAGCATTCTCAGAAAATTCTTTGTGATGTGTGCATTCAACTCACAGAGTTGAACCTTTCTTTTGATAGTGCAGTTTTGAAACACTCTTTTGTTACAATGTTCAAGTGTATATTTTGTGCGCTTTGAGGCCTATGGTGGAAAAGGAAATATCTTCACATAAAAACTACTCGAAAGCAGTCTCAGAAACTACTTTGTGATGTGTGCATTCAACTCACAGAGTTGAACCTTACTTTTTATAGTGCAGTTTTGAAACACTGTTTTTACAATACCTGCAAGTGGATATTTGGACCGCCTTGAGACCTTCGTTGGAAACAGGAACATCTTCACATAAAAAGTAGACATAAGCATTCTCAGAAACTTCTTTCTGATGTGTGCATTCAAGTCATAGAGTTGAACCTTTCTTTTGATAGAGCAGTTTTGAAACACTTTTGTTGTGGAATCTGCAAGTGGACATTTGTAGCACTTTGAGGCCTGTGGCAGAAAAGGAAATATCTTCACATAGAAACTAGGCAGAAGCATTCTCAGAAAAGTCTTTGTGATGTGTGCATTCAACTCACAGACTTGAACATTCCTTTTGATAGAGCAGTTTTGAAACATTCGTTTTGTAAAATCTGCAAGTGGATATTTGGAGCCCTTTGAGTTCAACGGTGGAAACGGGAATATCCTAACATAAAAGCTAGAAAGAAGCATTCTAAGAAACCTCTTTGTGATGTGTGCATTGAACTCCCAGAGTTGAACCTTTCTTTTGATAGAGCAGTTTTGAAACACTCTTTTTGTAGAATCTAGAAGTGGATATTTGGAGTGCTTTGAGGCCTATTTTAGAGAAGGACATATCTAAATATGAAAACTACACAGAAGCATTCTCAGAAACTACTTTGTGATGTTTACATTCAACTCACAGAGTTGAAGATTCCTTTTGATAGAGCAGTTATGAAACATTCTTTTTGTAGAATCTGCAAGTGGATATTTGGAGCTCTTTGAGGTCTTCGGAGGAAACGGGAATATCTTCTCATAAAAATAGACAGAAGTATTCTCAGAAACTTCTTTGTGATATGTGCTTACAACTCACACAGTTGAACCTTCTTTTTGATAGGGCAGTTTTGAAGCACTCTTTTTGTAAAATCTGGAATTTGATATTTGGAGCGCTTTGAGGCCTCCGTTGGAAATGGAAATATCTTCACATATAAACTAGACAGAATCATTCACACAAACTTGTTTGTGATGTGTGCATTCATCCCACAGCGTTGAACCTTCCTTTTGAGAGAGCAATTTGAAACACTCTTTTTGTAGAATATGCAAGTTTGTATTTGTAGCGCTTTGAGGCCCATGGTAGAAAAGCATGAATCTTCATATAAAAACCAGACAGAAGCATTCTCAGAAACTACTTTGTGATATTTGCATTCAACTCACAGAGTTGAACATTCCTTTTGATAGAGCAGGTTTGAAACACTGTTTTTGCAGAATCTGCAAGTGGACATTTTGTCCTCTTTGAGTCCTTTGTTGGAAACGGGAATATTTTCACATAAAAAGTAGACAGAAACATTCTCAGAAACTTCGTTGTCTTGTGTGCATTCAACTCACAGAGTTGAACTTTTCTTTTAAAGAGCAGTTTTGAAACACTCTTTTTGTAGAATCTGTAAGTGGACATTTGGAGCACTTTCAGGCCTGTGGAGGAAAAGGAAATCTCTTCACATAGAAACTAGACAGAAGCATTCTCAGAAAATTCTTTGTGATATGTGCATTCAACTCAGAGAGTTGAACCTTCCTTTTGGTAGAACAGTTTTGAAACGCTCTTTTTCTAGAATCTGCAAGTGGAAATTCGGAGTGCTTTGAGCCTATGGTAGAAAAGGAAATATCTTCATAAAAAAACTTGACAAAAGCATTCTCAGAAACTACTTTGTGATGTTTGCATTCAACTCACAGAGTTGAGCATTCCTTTGGATAGAGTAATTTTGAAACTATCTTTTTGTAGAATCTGGAAGTGGATATTTGGAGCGCTTTGAGGCCTACCGTGGAAAAGGGATAATCTTCACATAAAAACTACACAGAAGCATTCTGAGAAACTTCTATGTGATGTGTCCATTCAACTCACAGGGTTGAACCTTCCTTTTGATACAGCAGTTTTGAAACACTCTTTTTGTAGAATCTGCAAGTGGATATTTGGACCGATTTGAGGCCTAAGGTTGAAAAATGATATATCTTCATACAGAAACTAGACAGAAGCATTCTCAGAAACTACTTTGGGATGTGTGCATTCAACTCACAGAGTTGAACCTTCCTTTTGATAGAGCAGTTTTGAAACGCTCTTTTTGTAGGATCTGCAAATGGACATTTGGATCACTTTGAGGCCTGTTGTGTAAAAGGATATATCTTCACGTAGAAACTAGACAGAGGCATTCTCAGAAACTTGTTTGTGATGTGTGCATTCAACTCACAGAGTTGAACATTCCTTTTGATATATCAGTTTTGAAACACTCTTTTTGTAGAATCCACCATTGGATATTTTGACCGCTTTGAGGCCTTCCTTGGAAACGGTAATTTCTTCACATAAAAAGAAGACAGAAGAATTCTCAGAAACGTTTTTGTGATGTGTGCATTCAACTCACAGACTTAAACCTTTCTTTCGCTAGAGCAGTTTTGATACGGTCTTTTTTTAGAATCCGGTAGTGGACGTTAGTAGCGTTGTGAGGCCTGTCGTGGAAAAGGAAATATCTTCACATAGAAACTAGACAGAAGCATTCTCAGAAACTTCTTTGTGATGTGTGCATTCAACTCAGAAAGATAAACCTTCATTTTGATAGAGCAATTTTGAAACCCTCCTTTTGTAGAATGTGCAAGTGGAGATTTGGAGCGCTTTGAGGCCTATGGTCAAAAAGGAAATATCTTCATATAAAAACTAGAAAGAAGCATTCTCAGAAACTACTTTGTGATTTTTGCATTCAACACACAGAGTTGAACATTTCTTTTGATAGAGCAGTTTTACAACACTCTTTTTGTAGAATCTGGAAGTGGATTTTTAGAGCGCTTTGAGGCCAATGGTAGAAAAGGATATATATTCATATAAAAACTAGACAGAAGCATTGTTAGAAACTGCTTTGTGATGTGTGCACTCAACTCAAAGAGTTGAACCTTTCTTTTGGTAGAGTAGTTTGGAAACACTCTTTTTGTATAATCTGCAAGTGGATATTTGGACCGCTTTGAGGTCTTCACTGGAAACGGGTATATTTTCACATAAACACTAGACAGAAGCATTCTCAAAAACTTCTTTGTGATGTGTACATTCAACTCACAGAGTTGAACCTTTCTTTTGATAGAGTAGTTTTGAAACACTCTTTTGAAGAATATGAAAGTGGATATTTCGAGCGCTTTGAGTCCTGTGTTGGAAAAGGAAGTATCTTCACATAGAAACTGGACAGAAGCATTCTCAGAAACTTCTTTGTGATGTGTGCATTCAACTCACTGAGTTAAAATTTTCTTCTCATTGAGCAGTTTTGAATCTTTCTTTTTGTACAATTTGCAAGGGGATATTTGGAGCCCTTTGCGGCCTCTGGTGGAAAGGATATATCTTCAAAGAAAAAGTACACAGAAACATTCTGAGAAACTGCTCTGTGATGTGTGCATTCATCTCACAGGTTTGAACCTATCTTAGGATTGTGCATTTTTGAAACACTCTTTTTGTATAATCTGTAAGTGGATATTTGGAGAACTTTGAAGCCCACCACGGTAAAGCAGATATCGTCACGTAAAAAGTACACAGAAGCATTGTGTGAAACTACTTTGAGATGTGTGGATACATCTCACAGGGTTGAACCTATCTTATGATTGAGCAGTTTTGAAACACTCTTTTTTTAGAATCTGTAAGTGGACTTTAGGAGTGCTTTGAGGCCCTCTGTGGAAAAGCAAATATCTTTAGATAAAAACTATGCAGAAGCATTCTGAGAAACTTCTTTGTGATGTGTGCCATCATCTCACAGGGTTCAACCTTTGTTTTGATTGAGCAGTTTTGAAACACCCTCTTTGTAGAATCTCCAAGTGGATATTTGGAGTCCTTTGAGGCCTATTGTGGAAAAGGAACCATCCTCACATAAAAACTACACAGCAGCATTCTGAGAAACTTCTTTGTGAGGTATGCATTCAACTCACAGAGTTGAAATTTTCTTGTCATTGAACAGTTTTGAATCTCTCTTTTAGTAGAATCTACAAGTGGATGTTTGGAGAGTTTCGAGTCCTATTGTGGAAAAGGCAATATCTTCACATAAAAACTACACAGAAGCATTATGAGAAACTTCTTCGTGATGCGTGCATTCAACTCAAAGAGTTGAACATATCTTTTGATTGAGCAGTTTTGAATCCCTCTTTTTGTGGAATCTGAATGTGGATGTTTGGAGCCCTTTGAGGCCTACTGTGGAAAAGCAAATGTCTTCACATAAAAACTACACAGAAGCATTCAGAGAAACTTTTTTGTGATGTGTGAATTCAACTCACAGAATTGAACCTATCTTTTGATTGAGCAGTTTTGATTCTCTCTTTTTTTAGAATCTGCAAGTGGATATTTTGTGCGCTGTGAGGCCTACTGTTTAAAATCAAATATGTTCACATAAAAACTACACAGAAGCATTCTGAGAATCTTCTTTGTGATGTGTGCATTCAACTCACAGAGTTGAACCTATCTTTTGATTGAGCAGTTTCGAATCTCTCTTTTTGCAGAATCTGCAAGTGGATGTTTGGAGAGCTTTTTTGCCTATTGAGGAAAAGAAAATATCTTCACATAAAAACTACATGGAAGCATTTTGAGAAACTTCTTTGTTAGGTATGCATTCAACTCACAGAGTTGAACCTATCTTTTGATTGAGCAGCTTAGAATCTCTCTTTTTGTAGAATCTGCAAGTGGATATTTAGATCCCTCTGTGCCCTATGGTGGAAAAGGAAACATCTTCAAATAAAAACTGCACAGAAGCATTCTCAGAAACTTCTTCGTGATGTGTGCATTCAACTCACAGAGTTGAACATATCTTTTTATTGAGCAGCTTTGAATCTCTCTTTTTGTAGAATCTGCAAATGGATATTGGGAGCACTCTGAGGCCTACTGTGGAATATCAAGCATGTTCACATAAAAACTACACAGAATCATTCTGAGAAACTTCTTTGTGATGTGTGCATTCAACTCACAGACTTGAACCTATCTTTTGATTGAGCAGTTTAGAATCTCTCTTTTTGTTGAATCTGCAAGTGGATGTTGGGAGCCCTTTGCGCCCTAGGGTGGAAAAGGAAATATCTTCAAATAAAAACTACACAGAAGCATTCTCAGAAACTTCTTCGTGATGTGTGCATTCAACTCACAGAGTTGAACCTATCTTTTGATTGAGCAGTTTTGAATCTCTATTTTGCAGAATCTGCAAGTGAATGTTTGGAGAGCTTTGAGGCCTATTGTGGAAGAGCAAAAATCTTCACCTTAAAACTTCACAGAAGCATTCTGAGAAGCTTCATTGTGAGCTGGGCCTTCAACTCACAGAGTTGAATTTATCTTCTCATTGAGCAGTTTTGAAACTCTCTTTTTGTAGAATCTTCAAGTGGATATTTGGAGCCCTTTGCGCCCCATGGTGGAATAGGAAATATCTTCAAATAAAAACTGCACAGAAGCATCCTCAGAAACTTTTTTGAGAGGTGTGCCTTCAACTCACAGAGTCGAACTTATCTTCTCATTGAGCAGTTTTGAATCTCTTTTTTTGTAGAATCCACAAGAGGATATTTGGAGCCCTTTGCACACTATGGTGGAAAAGGAAATATCTTCAAATAAAGACTATACAGAAGCTTTCAGAGGAACTTATTTGTGATGTATGCATTCAACTCACAGAGTTGAACTTTTCCTTTGATTGAGCAGTTTTGGATCTCTCTTTTTGTAGAATCTGCAAGTGGATATTTGGAACATTGTGAGGCCTACTCTTAAAATCAAATATTTTCACATAAAATCTACACAGAAGCATTCTGAGAAACTCCTCTGTGATGTGTAAATTCAACTCACAGAGTTGAACCTATCTTTTCATTGAGCAGTGTAGAATCTCTCTTTTTGCAGAATCTGCCAGTGGATATTTGGAGCCCTTTGAGGACTACCGTGGAAGAGCAAGTATCTTCACATAAAAACTACACAGAAGCATTCTGAGAAACTTCTTTGGGATGTGTGCATTCAACTCACAGAGCTGAAATTATCTTTTGATTGAGCAGTTTGGAATCTCTCTTTTTGCAGAATCTGCAAGTGGATATTTGGAGCCCCTTGTGGCCTATTGTGGAAAAGGAAATATCTTCAAATAAAAACTACATAGAAACATTCTGAAAAACTTATTTGTGATGTGTGCATTCATCTCACAGGGTAGAACCTATCTTATGATTGAGCAGTTTTGAAACACTCTTTTTCTAGAATCTGCAAGTGGATATTTGGAGCGCCTTGAGGCATACCGTGGAAAAGCATATTTCTTCAGGTAAAAACTACACAGAAGAATTCTGAGAAACTTCTTTGTGCAGTGTGCATTCATCTCACAGAGTTGAACCTCTCTTTTGATTGAGCAGTCTTGAAACACTCTTTTTGTAGAATCTGCAAGTGGATATTTGGAGCCCTTTGAGTCCTACGGTGGAAAAGGAAATATCTTCACATTAAAAACTACTCGGAAGCATTCTGAGAAACTTCTTTGTGATGTATGCATTCAACTCACAGAGTTGAACCTATCTTTTGATTGAGCAGTTTTGAATCTCTCTTTTTGCAGAATGTGCAGGTGCACATTTGGAGCCCTTTGCAGCCTGTGGTGGAAAAGGAAATATCTTCAAATATAAACTACACAGAAACATTCTGAGAAACTCCTTTGTGATGTGTGCATTCATCTCACAGGGTTGAACTTATCTTATGATTGCACAGTTTTGCAACACTCTTTTTTTAGAATCTGCAAGTGGATATTTGGAGCGCTTTGAGGAACACCATGGAAAAGCAAATATATTCAGATAAAAACTACAGAGAAGCATTCTGAGAAACTTCTTTATGATGTGTGCATTCATCACACAGTGTTGAACCTTTCTTTTGATTGATTAGTTTTGAAACACTCTTTGTAGAATCTGCAAGTGGATATTTGGAGCCCTTTGAGGCCTATTGTGGAAAAGGAAATATCTTCACATAAAAACTACTCAGAAGCATTCTGAGAAACTTCTTTGGAGGTGTGCATTCAACCCAAAAAGTTGAACTTATCTTCTCATTGAGCAGTTTTGAATCTCTCTTTTTGCAGAAGCTGCAGGTGGATAATTGGAGCCCTTTGGTGCCTACTGTGGAAAAGCAAATATCTTCACATAATAACTATACAGAAGTATTCTGAGAAACTTCTTTGTGATGTGCATTCAACTCACAGAGTTGAACCTATCTTTTGATCGAGCAGTTTCGAATCTCTCTTTTTGCAGAATCTGCAAGTGGGTGTTTGGAGAGCTTTGTTGCCTATTGTGGAAAAGGAAATATCTTCACATAAAAACTACACAGAAGCATTCTGAGAAACTTCTTTGTTAAGTGTGCATTCAACTCACAGAGTTGAACTTGTCTTCTCATTGAGCAGTTTTGAGTCTCTCTTTTTGTAGAATCTGCAAGTGGACATTTGGAGCCCTTTGCGCCCTATGGTGGAAAAGGAAATATCTTCAAATAAAAACTACACAGAAGCATTCAGAGAAACTTCTTTGTGATGTATGCATTCAACTCACGGAGCTGAACCTATCTTTTGATTGAGCGGTTCTGAATCTCTCTTTCTGCAGAATCTGCAGGTGGATATCAGGAGCCCTTTGAGGCCTACTGTGGAAAAGCAAATATCTTCACATAAAAACTACACAGAAGCATTCTGAGAAACTTCTCTGGGATGTGTGCATTCAAGTCAGAGAGTTGAACCTATCTTTTGATTGAGCAGTTTTGAATCTCTCTTTTTGCAGAATCTGCAAGTGGATATTTGGAGCCCTTTGTGGCCTATGGTGGAAAAGGAAATATCTTCAATTAAAAACTACACAGAAACATTCTGAGAAACTTCTTTGTGATGTGTGCATCCATCTCACACGGTTGAACCTATCTTATGATTGCGCAGTTTTGCAGCACTCTTTTTGTAGGATCTGCAAGTGTATATTTGGAGCTCTTTGAGGCCTACCGTGGAAAAGGAAATATCGCCAGACACAAACTACACAGAAGCATTCTGAGAAACTTCTTTGTGATGTGTGCATTCGTCTCACAAAGTAGAACTTTTCTTTTCATTGAGCAGTTTTGAAGCCCTCTTTTTGTAGAATCTGCATGTGGATATTTGGAGCCCTTTGAGGTCTATTTTGGAAAAGGAAATATCTTCACATAAAAACTACTCAGAAGCATTCTGAGAAATGCCTTTGTGATGTGTGCATCCATCTCACAGAGTTGAACTTTTCTTTTGATTGAGCAGTCTTGAAACAATCTTTTTGTAGAATTTGCAAGTGGATATTTAGAGAACTTTGCATCCTGTAGTGGAAAACAAAATATCTTGAAAGAAAAACTATACAGAAGGATTATCAGAAACTTCTTCATGATGTGTGCATTCAACTCACAGAATTGAACCTATCTTTGATTGAGCAGTTTGGAATCTCTATTTTTGTAGAATCTGCAAGTGGATATTTGGAGCACTGTGAGGCCTACTGTGCAAAATCAAATATGTTCACATAAAAACTACACAGAAGCATTCTGAGAAACTCCTTTGTGATGTGTGCATTCAACTGATAGAGTTGAACCTATCTTTTGATTGAGCAGTTTTGAATCTCTCTTTTTGTAGAATCAGCAAGTGGATGTTTGGAGGGCTTTGAGACCTATTGTGGAAAAGGAAATATCTTCACATAAAAACTACACAGAAGCATTCTGAGAAACTTCTTTGTGAGGTGTGCATTCAATTCACAGAGTTGAACTTTTCTTCTCATTGAGCAGGTTTGAATCTCTCTTTTGGTAGAATTTGCAAGTGGATATTTGGGGCCTTTTGCGGCCTATGGTGGAAAAGGAAATATCTTCAAATAAAAACTACACTGAATAATACAGAGAAACTTCTTTGTGATGTATGCATTCAACTCTCAGAGTTGCATCTTTCTTTTGATTGAGTAGTTTTGAATCTCTCTTTTTGCAGAATCTGCAAGTGTATATTTGGAGCGCTTTCAGGCCTGTAGAAAAGCAAATGTCTTCAGATAACAATTACACAGAAGCATTCTGAGAAAATTCTTTGTGATGTGTGCATTCATCTCACAGAGTTGAAACATTCTTTTGATTGAGCAGTTTTGAAACTCTCTTTTTGTAGAATCTGCAAGTGGACATTTGGAGCGATTTCAGGAGTTCCTGGCATAGAGATTGTCACAAAGATATGTTTTCAATAGTGGTGCTATCCCTAGGGCAGAGAAGATCCAGAGAAAGCCCAAGTGGCTGCTGGAACAAAGTCAGACACCGTGCCACCTGTCCACACTCCTTGGCTCTGCCATCATGCTGAAGATTGGTTTAAAGGGCTGGCTTCCCTCCCCGCAAAATTAAAAGAGCACAGACTGAGAAACTGAATGTGGGAGACAGCAGTGGATTTTGCTGTTCTCAGGGGTCACCTCACGTTTGGAAGCATTCTTTCAAATTAACCCATCTCAGGCCATCTGCAGAGAAGAAAAGTTGTACCTAACTTTTTTTCTTGTCAGCACTTGGTAGGGGTGTTTTATTGACCAAATGTGTTCCCACAACCTGGTTTTTTGTAACTAACTAAATATAGTAGATTTTTAAATTTTATCATCAAAATCTATAGACTTTTTTAATTAAAATAGGCTCCACATCTATGTCCTGCTTTTCTACTTATTAATTACATTGCTGTATAAAAGAACAAGACTTCAGAATCAAGAATATCTTGTCTCTTGGCATTGAATTTATACAAGGTGCTCTTTCTTCAATGCTGTCTCAAAGGACATATTTTTACTCATTAAAAAGGAAGATCGGAATCTAGTTGTATGCACTGCTCCAACATACTAATAATTAAAATTAGGAGGTAAATGTGGTCAAAGCTATAGAAAGACTTGAGATGTCATTTATATTGATTACTGTATAGCACTCTACAAACAGAAATTGGGAAATAATAGTTTATATAAATATTTTGTAGCATTTCAAATATTTGAGTGCCTGAAATTTCACCTCTTATATAGTTCAGATTATCAATTTGAAGACTTACTCCGCTGGTTAAAATGTTTTTAGTCTCGTTTGAGTATTATATAAAAGCAATTTTCAGTTAAATGTGTTCCGCTTACATAAAACATTAGAAATTAGTGAGTATTTAATTACATTTTCGTGTTCCTGTAATGCCTTTAGAAGATTTTCATATTATTACCTATCAATATATGTATGCTTTGTCTAAGAAAAATAAATCATATACATCATTGAAATTGAAACTTTTTAAAAGTACTTATTAATTCTATTGAAAAACCACATCCATAGGAGCAATTACAATATAATATTGTGAACATGTAAATATATATCCTATGTCTATTTTATATATAAGCATATGTGATTAAAAATATAGTTAAGA
Organism: Homo sapiens; assembly: GCF_000001405.40. NCBI lineage: Eukaryota > Metazoa > Chordata > Mammalia > Primates > Hominidae > Homo > Homo sapiens. Next base: position 26,717,843 of record NC_000017.11, read on the forward strand.
ATTTTTAAACCTAGTATTATAAAGTAAAAATTAGTTAAACTTCTGATGATTATTTGTTAATTAAGATAAAATTATTTTGATTTGGGTGGTTTTAAATGAACAAAAATATTAAATTACATGACAAAAATTCTTTATAAAATGTTTACGATTTTTACATTAGTTTTATCACTTTATTCCACTATTTTATTTTAAGATGACCTGCCTTGTTTAAAACACTGTATTCATCTTAATTAAATTAAATTCCATTTGTAAAAAAATTAACAAATGATTTGCTCTATTATACAGTGCGGTTATAAACTGAGTCAGTATCTCAAGATTTGATCCCCATTATCGTCATCCATGGCCCTATTTGTTTGATAAATGTAGTGTCTTTTTCCATGCCTGTCACATCTCTATTGCTCATTTATTTTTCTCCTTGTCCCTTATAGGGAGCATTGCCTATCTCTAGATTAAGCAAAAGTTGCATCTTAAAAAAGCACAATAACCTGCTCAATCTTTCTAACACAGAGAAATGTTTGTTAAGTAATTAAATTGTAGATGATGATACAAAGAGCTTGATTAAATAAGATGCCAAAGTACCCTTGTGATTCAGAATATGAATGGTATTTAATGCCTTTGAAATCAATAATTGCTGAGTGACATTAATTAATGCCAATATTTCAGAAGTTGTTCTGGTTAGTGAAATGTGTACAACATGTAAAAATTTCCGAACTCTGAAGGGCAACATTATTCTATAATTAAGAATTAAGAATTAATTCACATTAATTATTGGGGAGAAATAATTTTAAGAATTAATGACTGAGAAAACATTTTTATTTTTTATTTAGAAAATTATTTTGTGCATGAGCATTACTGCAAGTTTTGCAAGAAACATAAATTTATAGAAACAATTATGTGCACAAGATGAATTTAATAACATCTTGATATTTTCCACTAATACAGTTGTATTTGGTAAATCTTTAAATGCCCGTCATCTAAAGATCATAAATGAATCTTGGAAACCTTGTAGGTAAGGGTAAATATAAGGATGCATCCAATTACATTTACACACACATACAATTACATTTACACAAACATACATGCACACACGCTCACTGATACAGGTATGCATATATATACATGAATTTACCAACTGATTTTAACTAATATTTATAAGAGCCTGTAGGATTGATATATATTGTTGAACCTGAAAAATATTTATTATATACATGTTTAAAATACACAAAGAAATAAATAGTAATAGCACTAGGCATTTGAAACTGTACTTAAATATAAGCTGTGATCATTACAAATTCTTACACTGAATAAATATTTTTATTTTTATACTAATATGTTTGATACATGTGTACATTTTCTAAAATGTATTATTTTTGTCATAGAGTCATGTCATGTATAATAATATTTCAGTCAAAGATGGATTACATATACAAAAGTGGTCCCATGAGATTATAATACATATTTTTACATACTTTTCTATGTTTAAGTATGTTTACATACATAAACTCTTACCACTGTGTTCTTATTGCCTGCAGTATTCAGTATAGTAATGTAGAACACAGGTTTGTAGCCTAGGAGAGAGAGGTTATACCATATAACCTAAACGTCGTAGGCTGTACAAACTAGGTGTTTGTAATATTCTCTCTGACGTTTGCAAAATGATGAAATTGCCTATGGATGCATCTGTTAGAACGTATCCCTGTCATTCAGTGATGGGTGACTGTGCTAAAATGCTAAACCTAAGTTTCAATGACCTCCATAAAATTGTTGTACTGTGAAATACAAATCTCTCACCTACGGCCACAATATGTTTGCAAACTAAGCAGATCATGGGAAGGAGAATGTGCTGGCATCGCTGGGATGATTTTCTCACACTATATGAATAATATCTCCAGACTTTGCGAATATGAGCCACTTGCATAGAGTTAAAGTAAGCATCTCTTTGCTGGGAAATTTATCAAATGGGAGTATGAAGTGTTTTTAAAAGATACTTGCTTGTTTGTAGACGGTAGGCCTACAGTGGCTCATGGCAATGGTTGAGGTTGCTAAGATTTGGAGGAAGGAGGCAAAATGAAATGGCCACTTATATGGTATATGGATCACTTGTTTCTGTTGAGTTACAGATTCAGCTGGCTATTTCTCCCAATGTTAGTTATTTGGAGAAAAAAACATGATGGTAATTTTTGGGTAACAAATACAATATTTGATGAAAGCAAATTTATTGAGGGTTAGACAAACTACATGATAATTTAGGCTGCAATGTCAACACGAGACTTCTGGCCCAAATTGTGCAGAGTTTGGGTCCAGCTGCAAAGTTCAAAGGAAGAGGCCATGTAAGATGATTCGCACTTTTGTCACCAACTGCCAGTTCAGAACTGACTCACAGAACTCATTGAATGCCATTGTACTCATGGTTTATAATAGAGAAAGGGTAGAAATTAGGACCAATCAAAGGAAGAGACATATCACGTAAGGTGGAATCTAGGAGGACTTTGAATGTTGTTTCTATTGTCTTCAGGACATATTACCTGTCATTGTTGTACAGCAATAAACATGGAGTACTACCAACCTGGGGAGCTCA